>NC_000004.12:131042593-131345623 GCF_000001405.40 Homo sapiens
TAAATTGATTGACATTATGCTTTTGGTAAAACTTCAAATCAAGGACTTGAAATGATAACAAAATTGATTCATAAATAATTCAATAGCTGCATGTTTGATTTTTTAAACAAATATATTCTTTCAATAGGGCCATAAAAGAAAATAAAATTCTCAGCTTATCATTTTCTAATACTTTCATCAAATCAGCTTTTAAATTTAAATAGCTGAGTTTATTTACTTGAATTTAGGTTTACGAAAGAATGATGGAAGAATCTAAGTGCTACAAGTAGAAGCATTCGAGTGTCCTGAGAAATATATCTTTCCCAATGCAGGTGTAACACACAGATTTCAGATGTCAGTTTGCTCGCCCAATTCTGACTGAACAAGCCTGTTCAGGAAATGTTGCATTAGAATAAACCCCTCAAATTTGTGTATCTCTGGTTAATCAGGCTAAAGATTTTCCTGCAAAGATTAGGTTTCCCATGCCTCTCCTACTTGCACTAGTTATCCTGTCTCTAGTCCTTTACCCTTCCTGTTAGCATATGAGGATTATGCAAAAATATTCAATATGTGGCTGCAAGGCCCTTTCTTTTGTTTTGAAGTTATTGTTCATCCACTGAGATACATTGGCTTTAAAGTGGATATTTTCAATATTTTTAATACCCTTCCCAAGCCTTTAGTTTTTAGAAATTGTTATTAAAGGTTTCACTGTGTTTCATCCACGTCTGAGATCCATAAATATCTTAAGAATAATCTTTTGTGGGAGAGAGGTGGATAATTCATTAATGTATCTTATATATATCTTATACAGACCTTAATTTACATGAGACTATTTATATTCTATTTATTCTGCAACTATTACTTCAAATTCTACTGGAGTTGTTACACCATGTATTGTTTATGAAAGTGTTGCCTATTTAAATTTGAAATACTCTGATTTTTAATAGACAGATATACCAAAGAATTTAAGAAGGTAGACCTTTATTTATTAGGCTATATTATAATGATCCCTTCAGAATGTGTTCCACTTACTTATACTGGGCTCACAGGATTGACATGCAGACTTTCACTCTACTGTTTCAAATTGATCCAAATTATACTGCATAAGATAGCTAGATACCTAGATATATAGTTTATATTATACTATTTAATAAGTTTGCTATGGTTCATTGTTGTGGATTATAAAGGTGGGAGGGGTTTTCAGGAAAGACATTTTTCTGACTGTACTTATTCCAGCAGATTTCCTGGAAAGTTCTCAGAATTGACTCATAGAAAGATCTCTTTGAATAAAATATAGGAAATGAATTGGAGGACAATAAGACAGTGACAGGATACCCTTTAATGTTCCCAGGAGTTGGTGAATCAAGTTGAAGGGCAAATTCTACTTACAATTAAAAGGCTCTACATTAGAAAAGTAGGTATATTAATTCCTTACTGTCCAACTTGGGATATTGGCCAAAATGAATTGTCCTGTTATAGGTTCCTTTCTTCATGCAGCTAGCTGTTTTGTCTAGGAAAATAATGTACAATCTGTGCTTAGATAACCAAATAGAGCAAATAACACAGATGTTTTATGAGATTTATAGTTAAATAATATGTGAAATATTTCTTTCTAGGTAGATAACTATCTGTGTTAGAGTCAATGATTTAGTCTCCACCATATGCTTTCAAATTCTATTTTATGTCCTTTCCAAGTAAAGATATGAAAAACACTATACTGAGATCAGTAATGATACTGAATATAATTTTCTGGATAGTTTCAGCGATCCCTCTGAGGCACATTCTCTGCACTATTTTTGCCCAGACAGTAGGCTTGTTTCTCATTAGTTAGGAGAGAGAAGAGTGTCTTTCAACATGCTGTGGAACTCTCATCTCAAAAAGACAAGCCAGGGAGTTGCACAGCTATAGGTTAACCCTGGATGTTCCTTAAAAGTACCAGATTTTGTCAGTAGAGTGCATAGTGATCATACACTTCATACTAGGCTCTGGGGAGGAATCTCTGTTTAAAATAGGTTTCAGTTGTTCATTAATAGCATGCCTGTCCAAAACAAATAATAAACTCTGAAGCAGGAAGCTGTTGCTTTTAACTCACCTAAACTCAAAGACTAAGGGTAAAAGTTTTGTTTTCTAACTTCCACATACAAAATTAAAGATAAAGATCACATGAAATTTTCCAAAAAGTTTTCTGAATTAAGAATAATTTGAATCCATATAACTGGAGCCTTGGTAATTATTTTAGATGTGAATTTACAGAATAGCTCACAGAATATATGATATAATACACATGTATTTAATATATAAATTTTGAATACATCCAACATGATGAGTAACATTTAGAGGTATAAATTAGAAAGAAATATTATTTAAGTATTATTTTTTTCTGACAGATTAAAATAATATTCTCCAAAATAATATATTTATGGCTAAGACAAAGGGAAACGTGATGAGAATGGAACACATTTATACACTGGTCAGAATTTCACGCAACTAGCTGAATATTTCTCTCTCTCTCTTCTTTCTCCTCTCTTTACTTTCCTAAAATTTACACCACAGCTCTCATCAATTTCACATATGCAATTGAACTATGATATTGCTTGAAGATTTACAAAGAAAAGGGCCATTTTGAATACCTCTGTGCATTTTCTACTGCAATCTCTCACCTAAAATCTTGCTCCTCTTTTACATTTATTAACCCAAAAATCATCCCCCTATTGAAATCTCTGAAAAATGCCTTTACATGCTAGATATCGTTGTTATTATCAAGATGTTATGTTCTCACAGAGTTTTGAGCATATTTCTGGTGCAATGTTCATCATATCATGTTATAGTTACTAGACAATACATCTATCCAGCCCAGGCATATCATGAGTTTTGAGAAGGCATGGACTATATTCCCATTCTTTATTTGCCTCTTATCATAGGTCCTAACCTATGGTATGATACGAAGACACAGCCCAACAAACTAGTATTACTAAAAGCTTTGACTTATTTTAGTAAAATTTAAACTTGATATAATATTGTGCATCAAACAATCATAACATGTACATAATACCCATGAAATCAAAAATAAATTATATATAGTAGCATCTGCCAATTATGTTTCAAATAATTACTGTAAATGTACTCTGTAGTGACATTTTAATTGTAAGAATACTAATATTTACTTTGAATTTGCAAATTATTTTAAACAAATCATATACTATGATTCAAAATGATAATCTGTGAAAATATTCCTTTAGTGTTGTTTATTTAAAACCATTGTCTGCCATTTTAGAGAAAATAGTAATAGTAATAATAATATTAACTAACAATTATAGAGGATTTAATATGTTTCAAGCACTGTTCCAAGTGACACCTTATTTAATCACTAAAACCATCCTGCGATGCTGACAGTATTGTTTTACCTGGTTCACAGAATGGGAACCAAGATCCAGAGGTATTTAATAGTCTGACTAGAGTCAAGGAGGTAGTGACTAGAGAAGTTAGCTTTCAAAAATAGCTATTTAGTTGCCAGAGCTTTTGTTCTTAATCAGTTGGATGAGACATACTATTTATTATCCAATTTAAAGATGCAGCTAATCATAAATTCAAATTTCATGAGGAAAAATGTGTATTTGTTAGTGATCACTAAGCAAATGTATATTCATGATTCAAAATAAAAATGATTCTGGTTCCTTTTCAGAGCATTACGGTCTTAGATCTATGAGAGATGGATTTATGTTAAATATTCTATTTCTCTACTTAGGCCACTCTGAGATCAATAGCATAATTTTATTTCTTAAAAGTGTTTAGGAAATTATCTATGTCATTTGAACCCAGTATTTCTTCTCATAAAATGAGGTGTTAAGAGACTAAGTAGGTCTCATTAGAACCACAATCTAAGAACTGGTTTACATATCTCGTAATAATATGTATAGATGAATGCAGTCATTAGCAACAGCAAAAAGTGTATATGACTGGAATAATTTTGAAGAAAATATATATTTTAGGATCAGAGTTATTAAATATCTGACATAAATGTGAAAATATCTCTTCTATGTGAGCTTTGAGAATCTGCATCATATACATCAGTCAGATAAAGAAAATTGATGCCATTGTCAATAGTTCAAATACTGGACATTTACTATAGGAAATTGGCCTCAAAGGACACAGAAGGGCTATACGTACAACCGAAGACGAGCCAAGAGAAGACCATAAAGAAAGAAAAGGTAATATCTGGAGCACACAAGATATTAATTTCCCAGGCTGGAGTCTGTATACCCAAACTTGCTAAAACATGATTGAAAATGCTCTGGTACTCTATTCTGGATTCACAAAAATAATGACAGAAGCAGCAACAACAAACACTGTTTCTCCTTGGACTGCTATGTATGGACACAAATCATACCACCCCCAAGCTGTTTCAGTCATTCACAGCAAATGCTACCTCTTGGTGTTAGAAACAAGTTTTGCTTGTCCTTCCAGATTCTCATTACCTACCAGCACCTTCTATTGGAAGCACCTAACAGAATATCAGTTGGCAAGAGAAATATAGTTTGCACAACCCCAGCCCAGCAATGCACAGGGGAAATTAGAAGGTGGGTGTTGAGCCGGGAGACCAACATATTAATAACTAGCGTGACGTGCTACATGAAAAATTACCGTCCCAACTCCTATGTCTATAGTCCAAGAAGCTTTTGTTTTTGTTTCCTTGAAGTATTGGTGCTTTTTAGGGCATCCCATTTACAATATAAACTTTGAATTCTTTTGAAAAGCATCATGGAATTTGGAGAATAAAGGAACCTGATCCTTAGCTATCTGATTTTGAGTCCATTTGCTAATTCATGTTGGGTCTACACTGCAGCAGGACACAACAATCAACAGTGTATTCAGTTGTTTTTTAAACCAGTACTGTTGAAAGATAAATCAACCTTGAGAACTTTAATAGTAATGACAGGCAGGCATGATGGTGAAAACCTAAGGAGTACTTAGAGATACCAACTTACCTGATGAAAACTGTTTGTCTGTCTCAATAAACCCTTGAAATTATAATCTATCCATCTGAATTATACTTACTCGTATCTCTGTATGTCTACTCTACCACACTGTCCTACAATCTTTTCGTACAAATATCCTTTTAGTGTCAGTTTAGGGAATTTTCTATGTGAACTACTAAATCTAAACAGGTATGCAAAGAGTTGTAAATTTTTTAAGTTTGGTAAGATAATGCTAACTCTCATAAACATGGTTAACTAAATCAATGAAAACAACTAGAGATATGTATTAAAATAATTTTAAAAAGTAATAAATAATTAGAAAACCTAAAGATTATTTAAAAGTTCTTATTTTCTATGTAATTTTAAACCAGTGTAGATTTTGTGGAATAAATGGACAAAGGATAATATAAAATGATCAAATTCCCTGCTTTCATTCATGGTTTTGTGATCTTTGACACATTATTTAATCTTGCTCTCTCTTAGCAAATATTGAACATTTTTAGGTATTGGGCACTATACTTTTCTCATTAATAATATCATGTAATTCTCACAACAGCCTTAAGCTGTGAGTACTATTATTCTTATTTCATGGAAGTACAAAATTAAAATTCAGATAGATATCTTAGCTCAATTTGTCAATTGTGAAATTTCTGTTCATTTAGCACTACAATAGACTGCCAAACTTTTAAAGCTATGTTGATTAACTTTGTTTTCACAGATAAAAACAGTAACAGGTATTCGTAGCATCATAAGAAATTAGTGAAATAACATACATAAAGTAATGACTACATTCTCTGGTACCTTGTTGGTCAGTCATTGAATTTGTACCCCATTTCATCATTCCATTATATTAGAATAAAACAAAACAAATTAACAAAGAAAAAAGATTTCAGAAAAACAGTGTTATTTCTCAAGGGCAGATTCTATGCCAGTATGACAATAAAAATACACACTTTTAATTAATTTATTAAAGTTAAAAGTTGATAATGTAGTTTCCTAGACATACCAGTGGATCATTAAGTAAATCCACAGAAAAATCCCTATTATAAAATCAAAAGATTGATTCAATTTTCATCTTATGAAGGTTTCCACTTCAATGTATCTCATTATATAATGAGATAGAAAATTTAAGTTTTATATTTATTTACTCATTTATTAACAACTGCATATATATATACACACACATATATATGAGTGCCCATTATCTGCCAAAAACCATGTTAGAAATTTAAACTATTAAAAGAAGACATTCTGAGCAGATTCAGAAGCGTAACATGGAAACTGCTATATCATGATAGTACATAAGTGGGCCACTTAAACTAATCTCCCAAGCACATGACATAGAAGAAACAAATATCTCTCAGAATATATGTCCCAATGTTGGAGTCAAATTGTAAACTGTGATTATGCATTGATGAGATGTCTTTTCATGTTTTAGTCATACTCATAACCTCCAGGAGATAGTTTACCAAAATCAGCCTTACCAGTACAGCCACAATAGCTGGACTTCAATAAAAGAGATTTCTTTTAGAAAATGTGTTAAGTCCTCTCCTTTGAATAAAATGTGGTTGATTTTTGCTTCTGTTTTTAGTGTTTGTGATGTTTCTTAATACCTGAAGATAGAACACGTTAGAAATTCAAGTATCCCTAATCTAATAATGAGAAATACAAGTATTTCTTATCTGATAATGCAAGATACCCAAAGTTTTCTGAGTTTGCCCTGTTTGGGCCTATAATTAGTTAATCTTTCTATACTTACAACTGATAAATTTCCACCTAAATAGTGTCTTCAATCATAATTTCCCTATTTAAAATATATTTAAGCTAATTTCCCTATTTAGACATATTTTTTGCGTATTTTATCATGCATGATATAGTTAAATCCATAAATTTGAATTTAACCAAATTTAAGGTCCTAAAATTCAAAAACTAAAATTTATGATATGTATTTTAGTATTTACTTTTTAAATAATCATATGATAACACTAATCAATAATTGTTAATGTCTTAAAAATTCACTGATGTGATATAACAGTTGAGACTATTAACTGGCATTATAAATCTGCTAATTTTATTTTCATTGTAAAAGCATAACAAACTTTTTTGCTCTAAAAGAATCTAATTGAAAATTCCAAACATACAGTGTATAATTTTGAAAGAATAAAATAATTTCTCACTGTTTTATTTTTCTTTCAGCATTTCATGCTCTCAGTTAAAAAATGTTTCATTTAAACAACAAAAAAAACTTGTATATTGTTTTTACTGTGAAGTCAGAAATAGCTATATCTTTCCTGTGTTTCTTTTGACAGAATTAAATTGCATTTCTGATGTGTCAAACTGGAAACTATCTTGTTGGCTTATGACATGGTGCAACACAAATATATGTATAAAGTGTATCCCAGTGTGAAAAATTACAAGTATTTTTTAATATTAAATACCAGCTATCAATTCACACTTCTATATAGCAATGGTTTGGATTTTCATAAAGTGGCAAATGAAAATAACCTAAGTATATATGTTCACATAAAGCGTGAGCAAGTCATTTTTGTGTCTGTCTTATCTTTCAAAAATTCAAAGCCTTTTCTAATTTAGTTCTTGTTTTATATTTAAAGCTATTTGCAATACAACATTTTTATAAAATTTTGATTCTCAATTACAGCATAATACTTCATTTTAGGTTGATATCATCATTATGCTATAGTAAAGAGTTTGCAAATTTAAATTAATTTATTGGCCTCAATATCTTTTAAATTTAAAATAAAAATTTATTATTATCTGGGATCAATTATCATCCTAGAAATAATGAGTTTACTTAAACAATATATATATGTACCTATGGTGGTGATGTAGCTGAGGACAGAGTTTAAATAAAGCCAGAGACAAACTTATAGATGCGGATAGAGGAGAAAAAAAGACAGAGAGAGAGAAGAAAAAGAAGGAGTTGGAGGAGGAGGAGGAGGAGGAAGAGGAGATCAGACTTAATCGATATATCTAATATTTGAGCTGGACAGTTTACAGTATTGAATCACTCCAATACCCTAAATCTGAGAAAAATGCCTGTTTGTAATTTATAAAATGTCTCCATGTTATGTCCTAAATAATACTGTCATTCTGAGCACCACTAATTGAATCAGAAATTAACACCTGAACCAAAGAAAGCCATTCCTCATTTTCCCAATGGCCAATAGAGTAGATTGGGGAAAAACAGTATTGAATAGTGTTTAAATTCTATTTTGCTTCATTATTTACTAGCCACGTGACCTTGGCACTTTATTTAACTTCCTCGCAATTTACTTTTATTACCTCTAAAATAAGAAAAATATTATAAATGTCTAATAATTTTTTTATTAAGCAATAATTGAGATGCCATCTCTAAAAATTTAGAATCAGTAATAGCATATAATAAAACATTCCGTATTGCTTAGTGACTAACAGACTTTTTCTTATTGAGGAAATAGATGCAAAAGGAGTTGCAAAGTGCAGTGGAAATTAGCAATATAGCAATGCAGACAGCAACACACAAACACACACACTTACACATTCACAAAAAATGATCAAGATAATAGCAACTGTGAGGTAGCAATAATGATACCCTAAAGATTATTCATTTGGAAGAACTTAAGGTACTAAAAATAGAGGCCATATCTCATAAAGATTGATACCCTCTACCCCTGGTTATCAGCATGTCTTGGAAAGGTTCCCTCTCTTTCCTCTCCTCCCCTCCCATCCCCTCCCCTCCCCTCTCCTCCTCTCCTCCCCTTCCTTTTTCTTTCTTTCTTTCATTTTCAGGAAACAAGGTCTCTGTTGCCCAGTCTGGAGTGCAGCAACTGATCACAGCTCACTGTAGTCTCAAACTCCTGGGCTCAAGTTATCCTCACACCTCAGCCTCACAAGTAGTTAGGACTACAGGCATGCAACACCACGCCCAGTTTATTTTTTGTTTTTAAATTTTTGTAGAGGCAGAGTGTCACTATGTTGCCCAGCTTGATCACAAACTTTGAATCTTAATTGATCTTTCTGCCTTGGCCTCCAAAGTGCTGGGATTATAAGTGTGAACCAACATGTTCAGCCTGGAGAGGTTTTCTATACCCCTGAGCCTTGTAAGAGAGAAAATATCTTAGAAGATATGGGATGTGAAAAAATAATACATCTTAAATTGTCATATATACATGCCTACTACAGGGATATCATTTGGGATAAGAGGGAAGAGGGGATTCTCAGTACAGTGGAATGAATAGTCTCATCATCAGTATTAATAAGAATATCTCAGTTAAGATCTAACAATTTTAAGAAGACTAACAAACAAGTTTATTTTGTATTCATGTAGTGGTCCAGGCATGTTTGCCTGCGTGTGTGTGTGTGTGTGTGTGTGTGTGTGTGTGTGTGTGTGTTCATTCTCCAGTGGCTGGCTTTTTTCCAGGAAGTGATTGAAGGACACTTCTCTCCTTGGTTCTGCCCATGCCTATCATCATCTGCCTTAAGTTAGAAGACAGTAAAAAGGCAAGAAAGCAATGATTACTTCTTTACAACCCTGGTCTGAATAACACACAGCAAGTTTGCTCGTTTTGTCAGGGAATTTAAGGCTATAGCCATCGTGCAAGACAAGTGGGAGCCGACGAGAGAAGTGGAGGTTTATAGATTTTCATGGTGAAGCACCTCTCTTGCGACTAGAAGGCGAAGAGAAAGAATATAGGCATTGGATTATATAAGAAAAGTTTTAACTTATCTTTAGCAGGATTTTGCTGAAGTCACTGTAGTGTTTTGAGCAGAGGACTGGAGTGAAAGCTACATTTGTAAAAGTATCACTCTAAGGCTAAGTTGAGCACTAATTGTATGTGACAAAATTGGAAGGAGAAGATCAATCGGGATAATTTTTTGTCCATTTCTTAATTTTCTAGTATTTCTTCTTTTGGATTTGTAGTAGTACTTTTACACTAAACAAAGAAGAGTTTTGACTTGATATAAGATAAAAATATGTTTATATTTAGCATTCATTTAATTTTCATTAGCTGAAGTTTTACTTGTTGAACATAAATATTATATTCCATGCCTGATTTTCATTTTGATTCCTTCAGTTTAGATATACAGGCTACTAAATAATTATGATCTCAGATCTATTTTAGCAAGAAGATGATATATCCCAGTTATACACAAAAAGAGTACAGTTCTGCTAAGGGGGACTTGCAAATATTTTACTTGTCTGATAAAAAGACAGACTAAAAGCCATTGCTTATTCCTTTCTCAGTTCTCTTAATAGCCACATGATGCCTGGAGTTGCAGCAGTTCTCTAACACCCTATGGATGAGGCAATGGAAAAATTGAGTCATGGATCCTTGATGGCATCTTTCAGTCACTGCTATTTTCTGAACTGCTAGCCCTGCATTTCTTTGTTTCTTTTTTTTTTTTTTAGACAGATTCTTGCTCTGTTGCCAGGCTGGAGTACAGTGGCACGATCTCGGCTCACTGCAACCTCCACCTCTTGGGTTCAAGAGATTCCCCTGCCTCAGTCTCCCTAGTAGCTGGGACTACAGGTGCATGCCACCATGCCTGGCTAATTTTTTGTATTTTAGTAGAGACAGGGTTTCACCATGTTGGCCAGGATGGTCTCAATCACCTGACCTCGTGATCCACCCACCTTGGCCTCCCAAAGTGCTGGGATTACAAGTGTGAGCCACCATGCCCAGCCTAACCCTGCATTTCTAATAATATCTATTCATTCATTTAGCAAATATGTTACTGAGTACCTACAATGAGCTAGACACTAAGTAATTTGTATACAGTCATCCCTTGGTATTTCTAAGGAATTCATTCCCAAACCCCTGCAGATCCCAAATCACAGGTGATCTTTTCTTTTATAAAATGAAATAGTATTAGCACATAATCTATGCACATCCTCCATATACTTTAAATCATTTCCAGATTACTTACCATACCTAATACAATGCCTACATATCACTCCATTTATTGAATCCAACATAGTAAATGCCCAGATTGTCAAACTTTACTTCCAGTAGTATAAAATATATATTTTAAAAAATTATTAATTCATAATTTCTTATTATGAAAATAGTAGAGGCTGAATTTTTTTTCAATGGCACTCAATAGACCTCACTATAATTGCTCTTTATTTTATTATTATTTTTCAATTTTTATTTTACTTTAAGTTCTGGGATACAAGTGCAGAACGTGTAGGTTTATTACATAAGTATATGTGTGCCACGGTGGTTTGTTGCATCTATCAACCCATCATCTAGGTTTTAAGCCTTGCATGCATTAGCTATTTGTCCTGTTGCTCTCCCTCCCTTCCAGCCCCCTGCCAGGCCCTGGTGTGTGTTGTTTCCCTTCCCTGTGTCCACATGTTCTCATTGTTCAGCTTCCACTTATGAATGAGAACATACGGTGTTTGGTTTTCTGTTCCTATGTTAATTCACTGAGGATAATGGCTTCCAGCTTCATCCATGTCCCTGCAAAGGACATGATCTCATTCATTTTTATGGCTACATAGTATTCCATGATGTATATGTACCATATTTTATTTATCTAGTCTATCATTGATGGGCATTTGGCTCAGTTCCATGTCTTTGCTATTGTAAATAGTGCTTCAATAAACATACGTGTGCATGTATCTTTATTGTAGAATGATTTATATTCCTTTGAGTATATACCCAGTAATGAGACTGCAGGGCCCAATGATGTTTCTGCCTCTAGGTCTTTCAGAAATCGCCACACTGTCTTCCACAATGGTTGAACTAATTTACATTCCCACCAACAGTGTAAAAACTTGCCTATTTCTCCACAGCCTTGCCAGCATCAGTTGTTTTTGGCCTTCTTAAGAAATACCATTCTGACTGACATGAGATGGTATCTCATTGTTTTCATTTGCATTTTTTCTAATGATCAGTGATGTTGAGCTATTTTTCATATTTTTTTGGCCACATAAATGTCTTCTTTTGAGAAGTGCCTGTTCATGTCCTTCGCCCACTGTAGGAAGAGGAAAAATTGGCCACACTAATGCCATTTAAAAAAATTTGCCTGTATCTATAAGAGGCAGAGGCATCAAAATTGAAAAGGTAAGCACCTTGTGTAAGATTTGGCTAAAAGCCCAGAAATTAACACACGTCCTGGAACACATACCTGGACACTGTTCCCAGAATGACTGTTCAAGTCCAGAAGCGCATTTTGGAGCACTGCTCCCAGAACACTGCTCCCGGAGCCACTGTTTCAATGTTGCTTGCTCGGCAAGTGCCCTCCTGAGCAAACAACAGAGGGCGCCCAAAGTAACAATTGATCTTAATAAACGGAGCTTACTTGAAGGAGGAGCTGAAGGCTGCTGTTGTCCTGTGCTGGGGATGCCCCAACTCCAATGGCAGGATCCCCAGCATCTGCCTTCTGACTCCGGTGATGACTCTTCCTGTGGTCTGATAAGCTTCTGGTTATATTTTTGTTGAGATTTGGTTACATTTTGTCTTCTCTTGTTATAAGGCTGTTTTTGTTGTGATATTTGCTTAGAGTAACAAAGATTTAGTTTTTCCCTCCCTCCCACTTGAGTGCTCCACTCGTCCTTCCTACACAGTCTTGAAACACCCACTTTTTGATGGTGCTGGGAAAACTGGCTGCCATATGCAGATAACTAAAACTGGACCCCTTCCTTGCATCTTATACAAAAAAAATAACTCAAGATGGATTAAAGACTTGAATGTAAAATCCAAAATTATAAAAATCCTAGAAGAAAACCTAGGCAATACCATTCAGGACATAGGCATGGGCAAAGATTTCATAACAAAAACTCCATAAGCAAATGCAACAAAACCTAAAATTGACAAATGGGATCTAATTAAACTAAAGAGCTTCTGCACAGCAGAAGAAACTGTCATCAGAGTGAACAGGCAACCTACAGGATGGGAGAAAATTTTTGCAATCTACCCACCTGACAAAGGTCTAATATCCAGAATCTACAAGTAACTTCAACAGATTTACAAGAATAAAACAAACAACCATATCATATAATTGCTCTTTAAACCAATGTTACAAAATGTAAACATAACTTATTAAAATATCACCATGGTTTCAATTTTCTAATTTTCATTTTTATCCATATTTCTCACTGATTTGTCTAACCATTTTTACTCCAGAAGAATATAATTACAGAATAAAATTTAATTACAGTACTTAATTATCACCACTTTGACTTGTACTGTCTAATGTATCTGTAAAGAGGGTTTATTACTCTCCTTAGATTTTCCCTGGCTATTTTCCCTTAATTATTGTGTCGATGAAAACCAGTTTGTGATAAGTATATTTGTGTGTGTGTGTATATATATATATATATATATATATATATATATATATACACACACACACACACACACATATATATATTCTACTTATATTATTTAGAAGGTCATATGGAATGTGTAGATCTTTTAGATATTCAGGGTATTAATGGTTTAATGATATTCAGTTTCTACTCATTGAGAAGGTTCTTTCCATGTATTCTTCTCGACAATGTATTAACTTTTTAATTTATTATTCTTTTTTAAATTTCTTATTTTTATAGATTTATTGGGTACAAGTACAGTTTTGTCGCATGGATATATTGCATAGTGGTGAAGTCTGGGCTTTTAGTGTACCCATCACGCAAATAGTGAACATTGTAATAGATGATTTTTCAAACCTCCCCCACTCCCCTTTTGGAGTGTCCAAGGTCTATTTTCCCACTCTATACATCCATATATACCCATTGTTTAGCTCCCACTTATAAGTGAGAGCATGTAGTATTCAACTTTCTGTGTCTGAGTTATTTCAGTTAGGATAATGGCCTCCATTTCTGTCCATGTTACTACAAAATGCATGATATCATTCTTCTCTATGTCTTTATGGCAGAGTAGTATTCCATTATGTACATATAATGGAATACACACGTAAACATACATACCTTATATATACACATATATATGTGTACACAGATACACATATAAATACAGAGATATGTAGATATAGGTATACACAGATATATAGATACATATATATGCATATATATATAAAGACACATGTATACATATATGGACACACACATACATATATATATACACACACAATTTTATAGATACACATATATGGAGAGATAGCTTATATGTATATATATTCATAGTAGTCAGATTGCTGGATTGAATGGTAGTTCTATTTTTAGTTCTTTGAGAAACCTTCATATCATTTTCCATAAATTGTACTAATTTACATTTCTACCAACAATATGTAAGAGTTTACTTTTCTCTACATCCTCAATAACATCTCTTGTTTTTTGACTTTTTAATAATAGCCCGGTATAAAATAGTATCTTACATATGGTATAAATGACTGCCACAATGGTATCTCACTTTGGTTTTAATCTGCATTCCCCTGATTATTAGTGATATTTAACATTTTTTTCATATGTTTGTTGGCTGCCTGCTTGTCCTCTTTCAAAAAATATCTATTCATGTTCTTTGCTTACTTTTTAATTGAGTTACAAATTTTTTCTCATTGAGCTGTTGAAGTTTTTTTTAGATTCTGGATATTAGCACTTTGTCAGTTGCATATTTTACATTTTCTCTTATTCTGTATGTTGTCTATTTACTATATTGGTTATTTATTTTTCTGTGAGAAGCTTTTTAGTTTAAGTAAGGCTCATTTGTCTATGTATTTTAATGTTCACTTTTGAGGACCTAGTCATAAATTCTTTGTGTAGACCAATGTCCAGAAGACTTTTTCCTAGGTTTCTTTTAGGATGTTTAGGGTTTTAGGTCTTAAATATAAGTCTTTAATCCATCTTGAGTTAATTTTTGTTTAGGGTGAGAGATATGGGTCTAGTTTCATGCTTCTGCTTATGGCTATTCAAATTTTTCCAGCACCATTTATTGAATAGGGTGTCTTTTTGCTAGTATATCCAACAGCATATTAAAAAGACAACACACCATGATCAAGTTGGTTTTATTCCAGCAATTCATGGATGGTTCAGCATATGTAAATCAACACATGTGATTAACCACATAAAACAAAAACCATTTGATCATCTCAATAGATACAGAAAAACATTTGATAATAAAATCTAGCATCCTTTCTTAGTAAAAACCCTCAACAAAATAGTCATCAAAGAACATATCTCAAAATAATAAAAGTCATATATAACAAACCCACAATCAATATCATATTGAACAGTGGAACACTGAAAGCATTCCCAGTAAGAATTAGAACAAGACAAGTATGCTCACTTTCATGACTCCTATTCAACAAAATACTGAAAGTCCTAGGCAGAGCAATTAGGCAAGAGAAATAATTAAAAGGCATCCATATTAAAAAGGAGGAAGTCAAAATATCTCTGTTCACTGATGATATAATCTTATGCCTGGAACACTCAAGACTCCTCCAAAAGAATCCTAGATTTGATAAATGATGTCAGTAAAGTTTCAGGATGCAAAGTTGATGCGCAAAAATTAGTAGCATTTCTAAATACCCATAATGTTGAAGCTTAGAACCACATCAAGAACTCAATCCAATTTACAGTAAGAAAAAATAAAATAAAATAGCTAGGAATATACTTAACCAAGGAGGTAAAAGATCTCTACAAGAAGAACTACAAAACACTGATGGAAGAAATTGCATAATAGATGACATGAACATGTAGAAAAACATCCTATGCCCATGGATTGGAAGAATCAATATAATTAAGGTTACCATACTGCCCAAAGCAATCTACAGATGTAATGTAATTCTTATCAAATTAGCAATGTCATTTTTCAGAGAATTAGAAAAAATAATTCTAAAATTCATATGGAACCCTCCCCCCCCAAAGAAAGCCCAACTAGCCAAAGCAATCCTAAGCAAAAGATTAAAGCTGGAAGCATCACATTAAGGGTACAGTAACCCAAACAACATGGTTCTGGTATAAAAATAGACACATGAGGATATGGAATAAGAATAGAGAACCCAGAAACAAAGCCACTTACTTACAACCAACTGATCTTTGACAAAGTCGACAAAATTTTTTTTTCAATACTAACGTTTATACTTGTTATTAAATTTGTGGCTGAAATTTTATTATTTGCGCTTTTAATACTGCATGTAATCTTTTATTCCGTTTCATTTTCAAACTGGACATTGTTTTCTGTAGGTATACTTTTCCTATAAAATATTAACTTGGAACATAGTAATCTATTAAATTATAATTTATAAAATGTTTAAGTTAATCACATTAAGCTTTCAAGGTAATCAAATTTACCTTTCAAGTAATAAACATTTTACTATATCCTTTCCCATATTGATACCTTTCTTTATTCTCATTTCTAATTATAGTAGCTACCGTCTCCTAAACAATGTTACATAATAATGTCAATCATGGGGATCTATTTTATTTCTATTTTAGAAAGGATAATTTCTGCTATTGTTTCATTACTTTGAAGTTGGCTTTTTGGCCAACTCTTTTTTATCTATTTCTATATATTCCAAGAATTTAAAAAATTATCCATTTATTCCAAATCTTATAATATTTAATATTATTTTGCATTTTATAAAATGCTTTTCAGCATTTGTAGAAAGAATTATATATTTAATCTGATTATTTAATTGATCATAAAAATGCATTTCTAATCTTGTATTCTTGGTAGGATATTTACTTGATTGCTGTGCACTATTATTTTTTAAGTTAATGTGAATTATTTTTGTTACGACTTTATTTAGAATTTTTGAATTATTATTCAAAACCTGAGTTAGTTTAACTAAAGAAACTTCTTCGTGATATCTTCATTTGGACATAAAGCTATCTGTCTTTTAAAAAATTAGAAATATTTTCCCCCTTTCCTCAGTTTTCTATGTTTTTTTAATTTTAAAGGTATTTGAAGTTGGGGAGGCCAAGGCTCTTGACCCCTAAAAGATTTGTTTCTGTACTGAATGGGGTACTTACTTCTACAACCAGTTACAGGGAGGAGGTTGGAGTAACTCACCAGATCAACTCAAAGCTATAAGTTTTTCTCCAGTGCTTATTCAAATTCAAACCATATTTCTATGTGTGGAGTACACCTGCAAGCTGAAGTGTTTCCCTCTTTCTAATCTTTAAGTAGGGTCTGGAGTCTGGAAAACTACTTCAGAGCCTAAGAACAATTACTTTATCTGAAGTAAGTCCTGGTACAAGGTGTGCAATATTATTTTAATTAAAGTCTAAGGTCTGAGAAAGCCCAGACGGGGTCTTAATGGACTTATTTTTACATTCTAGCCTTTGTTCTAAGGCACCAGTTTCTCCAGTTCTTTAATGTTTAATTTATACATTCATCAGAGTTACAGTAAGGTGTTGGTGAAGGCTGCTCTGGTTGCTAATGGAGACCTGACCTGCCACAGGTTTTCCAAAAATTACTGGCATGGGGCAGATTGATTAATAGGAGAAAGGACATACACATTTATTTAATGCATATACACTGGAGCCTTCGGAATGAAGATTCAACCTCCCAGTGAGGTACAGAAACTTACACACTATGTAAGCTCACAGGTTAAAGAAAGAATGGCAGTTTGGATCCTGTTAAATTGGGTTATGGGAGGAGGGAGAAACAGAATTATATTGAGGGGCAATAAATGATTACTTTGATGAATGACTGGATCAGTAAACAGAAATTAACTTGTAAATAGTTCTCTTTGGAATTTATTTATTTGTTTACTTTTTTAATCAATGGGGTCTTGCTCTACTTCCCTTGGTTGGAATACAGTGGTTCAGTCATAGCTCCCTGTGGCCTCCAACCACTGGGCTTAAATGATCCTTCTGCCTCAGCCTCTTGAGTAGCTGGGACTCCAGGCACACACCATTGCACTTGGCTAGTTTATTATTATTTTTATTTTTATTTTTGTAGAGACTGGATCTTGCTATCTTGCCCAAGCTGGACTTGAACTCCTGGCTTCAAATAGTCCTCCCA
Source organism: Homo sapiens (assembly GCF_000001405.40). Classification (NCBI taxonomy): domain Eukaryota; kingdom Metazoa; phylum Chordata; class Mammalia; order Primates; family Hominidae; genus Homo; species Homo sapiens. The sequence continues at coordinate 131,060,484 of NC_000004.12, forward strand.
CCTAAGTCTTCCAAAGTGCTGGGAGTACAGTTGTGACCCTCCTGGCCTCTCTTTTGGATTTAAGTGATCCTTGGAGACAGTCATAATCTTGTAAAAGGATCTATTCAGATGTGGTTACATTCTTGGTCTCATTTTCTGTAATAGATAATGATATAACAGGGAGGGGAAGACAACTCAATTGTTCTTCTTGGTGGGTGTAAATCTTAGGCAGATAAAGAAACTTCAACTTTTGTGGGAGAGAGGGGAGAGAAGAGGCATCAGAGAAACCCTGATGCTTCTTTAGTTCATTTTGTCAAATGCTGTATTTCAGGATAATGGTTTCTGAGCCCCAACAGAGTATGCATATTTTAAATATTTGGAGTATATGTATTTTCATTGTCATTGATAGAGCTATTTGAAATAGGTAGCTTTTTAAAAATGATATAGCTCTTTATAAATATTCATATGTTCTATAGATACTTTGGGGCTTTCCAACTCTTATGGCATCATTTTAGGTCATTTCTATTTTCCTAGAAAATTATTTGTATAGCATTAATCACAGTAATCTTCTAATTCTCTTCACTCCTTCTGGTTCTGAGATTATTTTCTTATTGCTCTTTGGTTTTCTCCCATGAATCTTTTTGAACTTAATTATTTGTGTTAATTTTAAAAACATATTTGTTATGTATAAAGAAAAACTCTTTAATTTTATTATTACTAGTATTTGTGTTGCAGCTTTCCTACTTCCAGTGCTTGGTGAGTGGGAGGAAGTGGCACCCAATGGCTTCTCCACTCCCATAGTTCTGTGAGTGAAAATAAGTGTTACAGCTCTTTTACTCCCACTGCCCATAGTTCAGTGAGCTGGAGCACTACAGTTCTTGTGCTCCTGGAGTTTGGCGAGTTCTGGTTTCTTGTCCCACAACCAAGAAGAATAAGTCACACAGACACCAGAGGCCAGAGGGTGAACAAGGCAGAGTAACAGAAAAAGCTCTCAGCAGAGAGGGAAGAGGTTTGCCTGCTGATGGGCTGAGTTCAGGATTTTTACAGACTGGGAAGGACAGGGAGTGTGCAGACGGGTCCGTGGGCCATTTTGGATAAAGGACGATTCAGAAAGAGAAATGTAAATGTAAAGAACCAATTGGAGGCAGAAGTGAAGACTTGGCTTGAAACCAATCAGGGGATGGAGTGACATTTCATTCTATGCAAATGAAGACTCACCTGGCAGCCAATCACAGAAAGATAGGTATATGTAAAACAGGTGGAAGGTAAGAGCCAATAGGGAGGAAGTGCACACAATGGGATAAAGACATGCTGAGGGGAGAGAAACATGCCCAAAACAGGAGTGAAGTTTGTTCATCTGGGCTCACAGAGTGGGTGTTTGCATTTATGGATGTGGGCTTTTGCTTATATGGTGCCTGTAGTTTGATTTTCAGGCTGTTGTTGGTTTGGAGGAGTTCTAATGAGGACCCGCCCTAACTGCCTGCCTAACTGGTTTCTTTCTTCTTCCTCTCTCATTAGCATTTTCTTTATTTAAATCTTTGAAAAATTTGTTGCCAACAAAATTACCATATATTTTAATAAAATAATCAGTATGCAATGATTTGTCTGTTTGTTATTATGTTTGTATTGCTTGATATGTCTAGGATTTAAAATTTCAATTTTCTTTAACAGTGTGAAAATGGACTAATGCACTCAATCTCACCAACAAAAGACAAACTGAAATTATGTGCCCCCTGCTGTGATGCAGTAGAATGTACATGAAATCACATATGTAATATTCTTAATAAAAATGTTTGATCTGAACATATCTTAAAAAATAAATGAGATAACATTTCAATTTTCATACTTAACTCTTTTTTTAATGGCACTACAAGAAACTCAGCTTCTAATTTTTATTTTGTTTAAGATAAAAGCCATATTATTTAAGTTAGCTCAGAAGTAAGAACTACGTTAAGAATGTTACTGATTCCTGAATAATGGCAACCTCTCTTGTGAACTGGGGGATATGGTTACTTTTGAGACTTACCCTTTTCCATTAATAAACATATCAAACAGAATCTGCTTAGTCTGTGTATGCCTAGTTCCCTATTTTTTCTTCAGATGTTATTTTTGGTCTTTTATGTACTTTTAGAGAAAAGAACAGTTATATTCTAAAATCTGGACCCACCTATTCTGTTCCATTATGGAGACTTTATTGGACTAATGAGTGAAAGATAGATAAATCATTATTGTTTAAATATAAGACATAACTTTAAATATGTTATAGTTATCTAATCATGAAATAAGGCATCTAAAAATAATAATAATTACTTTCTTGCCAATGGAACTCTTCAAGAACAACTGACTGACTATATTCAGTGGTATCTTAAAAGTATTTTCTGTATTTGCAGAATATTAAAATAGATGGATAAACAATGTTAATTTTCAAAATAAATATAATAAATTGATAAATGAATTAATCAATCTAAGAAACATAATATGGTAAGCTAATTTAAAAATCTTAAGTATGCCTTTATTAAGTAAATGCCTAAAAATATAAAACAGTGATGATGTATTTCCTTTCAAACGAGTTAGGTTTCTGTTAGCACTTGTTCTGTGACTGCGATTTGGGATTCCTTGAAAATTTCACTGTATCAAAGGAAAGAAATGAAACTGTATTCCATTCTTAGGTCTTTATTGAATCTTTTCTTCCACAATGTTGAAATTTATCTGAGCCCTGTGCTCCTAGATAAAAGTAATGAGTGACAAATCCCCTGAAAACCAAAAATAAAACTGTAAGCCCCTAATTGACTGAATGGACCCCTGCTCTCATCCAAGAGGATTCCAAAGTTACCCTGAAAAATGAGTTCATGCCATGAATGCAAAGTCAAACACTCTTTGGAGTGTATACTCTCCTCTCTTTGGAATTCAGACACAACTTACTAGCACTAACATTAAAGCACAGATCTCAAGACTGACCAAGAAAACTCTCTGTAGCAATAAAATAAAAAATTTCATCCTGACTCCAATATAGCATGACATTACAGATAGCAGGCCCTGAAAGAAGTTAAAATGTTTTACACCAAAATATATTTTTTGATGTATTTTGAAATGGCCTGGCCAAGCTGTCTCTTGTAGAGGAAATTTACATTCTGTAGATAATCCCTTTGCCCTTCCAGGTCTTCTTTTGATCCTGAAAAGATTAGCTGAGCAAGTACAGCACCTTTTAAAGTTCTGAATATAAACCATTTGCTATCTATTGCCTCCAAGGGCAGCCACCTATGAGATCTATATAATAGGAACCTTGGTCTCCACAACTACTTTTCTTAACTCAGACACTTCTTTTCATTGATTCAAGGTCTTTAAATAATAACTCTTATAACCAATTGCCAATCAAAAAATCTCTGAATCCACCTATGACCTGGAAGCCCCAGCTTAAGTTGTCCTGCTGTTCCAAACTGAACCAGTGAACTGGGGCATCACTTCACCAGCCGGAAACCTCTGTGGCCAGTGGCGCCTTTGCCTGGCTTTTGTTCTGGCCCACTGTGTTTTTTCCGCCCACTTCGCATAGCAGGCTACACTCTGCTCATGCTACTGGCCTGGATCCCAAGCCTTCCAAGGGTGAGTCAGGCATGGATCAGCAAGGGGTGTGTGAGTGAGTGTGGAGTCTGGCCACTGCACACAGTCAAGCATGCTGCATGCGGTAGGGCATGCAGATTTAGGTGCCAGCATGGCTTCCAGCTCCTGCAAGGCTATAGTTGGACCAGGCATACCACAACCCACTTCCACAGCTGGCACTGGGGAAAGCAGTGGTACTCAGAAGCTTGGAGATGCCAGGAACTGCAGAGACCTGAAGAGGGTGTCACAGCCCTAGCTCAGGGAGCTCTTAGGTCTGGGCTCCCTGAAGGGCTGCAGTTCTTATCTCCTTCTCTCCTCATATTCTTGTCATTTGCAATGTGGTGAGCAAGAAACATATTTCAGCACTGTTTGTATTACAGCCCTTACAGCCCTGCCATTCGGTGGGTCTTGAGTTCTTGTCCCAAGCCCAGGAAGAATGAGGTACACGGACAAGCGGAAGGTAAGCAAGGTGAAAAGGTGCTTTATTGAGCGATAGAACAGCTCAGAAGAGACTTGAAGTGAGTAGCTCCTCTCCACAGCCAGGGTGTCTGGCTCTTAGCAGAGGAAAGATCCTGGAATGGGTAGCTCCTCTCTGCATCTGTTCATCCTATCATCTCCTCAGCTCTCAGCAGAGAGGAAAACCTGGGGTGGGTAACTCTTCTCTGCAGCTGGTCATCTCATTGTCCCCTCAGCTCTCAGCAGAGAGGAGACTCTGGGGTAGATAGCTCCTCTCTGCAGCTGATCATCCCATGGTTCCTTCAGCTCTAGCAGAGAGGAGACTCTGGGGTGAGAGCTCCTCTCCACAACTGGTTATCCCATTGTCTCCTCAGCTCTCAGCAGAGAGGAGACCCTGGGGCAGATAGCTCCTTTTTGCAGCTGATCATCACGTGGTTCCTTCAGCCCTAGCAGAGATGAGACACTGGGGTGGGTAGCTCCTCTCAACAGCTCATTGTCCCATCATCTCCTGGAGTCTGGCTGAGTCCAGGGCTTTTATGGACCGCAGAGGGGAGGAAGTGCATGCCAACTGGTCCATGGGAAGCCATGGGCAGGCATGAAAAATGTACCACAAATTCCCAGTCTGGTCTGGAGGACTGACAGCCTGAATCCCAGGCTTGGCAGGCCTTCCCTGACTTGAAGATAGAGCTACACCAGGGACCTGCCTGTTTCCACCCAAGAGCCTGTCTGACTCCTGCCGCTGTTCATAGGCTGTTTGTGGCAAGGGGCGCCTCTAGGCAGTACCAAGCTGCCTTCAGCACCCCTTTTGTCTCCTTCCCATGCTCATCAGGACCCAAAGTCCAGAGGGGGTCAAGGCGACAGGGGACTAGTGTGTCAGTGCTGCCCTGAGTGTGCAGACACCTGGCCAGGCTGCAACAGCACCCTGGCTCAGCCCCAACCTTGCTCCAAGATCAGAGAGGGCACCAGAAGCAGGGAAAGGCCAGGCAGTGGGAGCAGACACCTCCAAGCCTGCAGGGGCAGGGGAGTCTTTCCAGGCCACTGAGAGTGCAGAGATGCCTGGGTCTGCAGCTGCAGCTTAGGTGGTTGCAGTTGTGTCCAGGAGAGTGGAGCTCCTGCCTGCTCCTGGCCTCCACTAGCTCCGTGGAGTGTGCAGCCCTGGCTACACCTCCTGCACTGCAGCCTGGCGTCATGGCAGCAGCCACTCTAGACGGGCTGCTGCTGCCATCAAATGTACACCTTACATGCATTGATTGATGTCTGTCTGTAACTTCTGTTCTTTTAAAATGTATAAAACCAAGCTATAACCCAACCACCTTTGGCATGTTCTCAAAACCTCTTGAGGCTATCCCTCAGGCTATATATCCCTCATATTTGACTCAGAATAAACCTCTTTAATTATTTTACAGAGTTTGACTCTTTTCATCAACATCGCTTTCTTTTTCCATACAAGAAAGGGAAATCTTTTCCTGGAATATTACAATGTAAGACCAACTTACATTCTTCTACATGACTTTCTTAAGGCCCCCTTTGTGTACAAGTCTCAGACTCCTTTTTCTTTGAAATGTTATTCATTAATGGAAATATGTCCTATTACAATATGAACAAAATCATCTTCCTAATGGCCCTATTAATTGATTTCACAGTTTAGTGCCAATACTCATAAAGGATAGACTCTTATTTTGGGATCCCCATTTATTTCACTGAGGTAATAAAGCCTCTCAGAGCCTTTTAACTTGTTATCTGAGGACATTACAGTCAGTCCTGTTCCTGATTCTGTGTCTTGAATTCTTGTCCATTGGTAGCAAAGTAAAGATTTGATTTTGATATTTTTTAGGTCCTCACTCAATATCTGGTGCTGACTTCTTCTCACCTCATAAGCTGATCATTTGGTAATTTCTGTAAGCAGATAAATGTTTTATAAAGTTCTCATTTCCATGGTGTTTGTGAAGGCAGAGAATCTGCATTGCCAGTCATTTCTATGTGTGTATTTGTATATTTTGAGCTCAAATAAAGTAAGAATTTTATGCCCACTGGAAAGCAAATTTCTAATATTTTTGTTTTTAATGCTTGACCCCTGGCTGGAGTTTTAGAATTGAACAGTTATACTTTCTGTATTCATGTTTCTATCTGTTATTTTATGTCTGTTATTCAGAAAATTTCATTGTATGTAATATTTTTCTACTTCCACTTAGTGTTATCAAATTAGATGATAAAAGACTCTTAAACTTTATTATAAGTAGATTAGAGATAAATATGCACTTATGTATATCAAATATTCCATAATTTCATACATAATATCAAATTATGTCTTGAAAATTAAATGTCAATTTATTAATTAATTGTCTTGAAAATTAAAGACATTAAACATCTTACTAAAGGACTATACACCATGACCAAGTAAGATTTATTCTGTAATGGAAGGATAGGTCAACATTTAAAAATCAATGAGTATTATTCACCATATTTCAAAATAAAGGAAAAAAGATATGCCAATCTCCATTAATGCAGAACAAAATTTGACAAAATTCAGTAGTCTTCCATGATTAAATCACTCAAGAGACTAGAGTAAAAGAAATTTTTCTTAAAATAATAAAGGTCATATGTAAAGAACCCACAGCTATTATCATACTCAATGGTAAAAGATGGAAAGTTTCTCCCCTAATATCAGAAATAAGAAAAAAACGTCTGTTTTGTCACTTTTATTAAACATAGTATTGGCAGTTCTAATAAAAACAATCAAGCAAGGAAAAACAAAAGCATTCATATTGTAAAGGAAGACACAGATATAGGATACAAAAGTAATACTCAGAAGATGCATTTCTACACAATAACAATGAACAATCTGAAATGAAATTTGAAAACAATTCTATTTACAATAGTTTAAAAAAATACTTAGAAATACACTTAACCCAGGCAATAAGGGGCTGTTATACTGAAAACTGCAAAACATTACTGAAATAAATTATAGAAGACACAAATAAATAGAATAACTTCCTTTGATGGAAGCCTTAATGTTGATAAAATGACAACATTACCCAAAGTGATCTATTATTCACTGCAGTCTCTATCAATTCCATATGATTTGGGGGGGAGAAATGGAAAAACCCATACTAAAATTCGTACAGAATTGCATAGGCCCACAAAGAGCCAAAACAATCTTGAAAAAGAAGAACACAGTTGGAAGACTCACACTACTTAAATTCCAAATTTACTTTAAAGCTATAGAATCAAAACAGGGTGGTACTGTCATGAAGACAGATATATAGACCAATGGAATTAAATAGAGTTCAGAAATAAATCCTCAAATATAGGACCAAACAATTTTCAAGAGTACCAAGACCAATGAATAGAGAAAAGACATTTTCTAGATATGATTCTAGAGAAACTAGATATCTTCATGTAAAGAATAGAACTGAACACTTACCGCATAAAATATACAAAAATTAATTCAAAATGGATAGAAGACTTAAATGTAAATGCTAAACCTATACATTTCTAGAAGAAAACATAGGAAAGAAACTTCATGACACTCCTCCTCCTGCTGTGGCCATGTAAGTCATGACTGCTGCCCCTTCACCTTCACCTTCTGCCATGATTGAAAGTTTCCTGGGCTGGGCGTGGTGGCTCACGCCTGTAATCCCAAAACTTTGGGAGGCTGAGACAGGCAGATCGTGAGGTCAGGAGATTGAGACCATCCTGGCTAACACGGTGAAACCCTGTCTCTACTAAAAATACAAAAAATTAGCCGGGTGTGGTGGCACGCGCCTGTAGTCCCACCTACTCAGGAGAATCCGTTCAACCCAGGAGGCAGATTTGCAATGAACCGAGATCGCACCACCGCACTACTCCAGCCTGGGCGACAGAAGGAGACTCCGTCTCCAAAACAACAACAACAGCAACAACAGCAACAACAAAAACCCCAAAAAAACAAAAAAAGAAAGTTTTCTTTGGCCTCCCAAGAAGCCATCATGCTTCCCTTACAGCCTGGAGAACCATGAATCAATTAAACCTCTTTTCTTTATAAATTAAAAAGAGAAAAACATGACTTTGGATTTTCCAACAATTTACTGGATATGACACCAAAAGCACAGGCCACAAAAGAAAAAATAGTTAAATTGTACTTCATCAAAATTAAAAATGGATGCACATCAAAGGACATTATCAAGAGAGTGAAAAAGCAATCCACAGAGTTGGAGAAAATATTTACAAATTGAACATCTGTTAATAAATTAATATTTAGAAATATACACACACACAGAGAAACACACACACACACATAAACAAAAACCAACAACAGAAAAGCAAACAATCCAATTAAAAATGAGCAAAGTACTTGAACAGACATTTCTACACACAAAAAAATAAACAAATAGCTAATAAGCACATGTGAATATGCTCAATATCACTAAATACTAGAGAAATTCAAATCAAAACTACAACGGGATACCACTTCGTACTCTCTAGGTTGGCTATTATTCAAAAATAAAGATAAAAAAATAGCAAGTGTTGCTGAGGTTGTGGAGAAACTGAAAGGTCTCTGTAATGCTGAAGATAACGTAAATTGCTTCTGCCACTGTGGAAAATATATGATGGTGCCTCAAAAAGTTAAACATGAATTACCATGTGATCCAGCAATTATGCTTATAGGAATATAGCCAAAAGAATTAAAAGCAGCTATTTGAACAGATAACTGTATATACATGTTCAGGCAGCATTATTCATATGTGTGAACAGAGTAGCAAAATATGGTATCTACACACAATGGAATATAATTGTCTTAAAAAAGAATGAAATTCTGATACATTCTAAAACATGGATGAAACTTGAAAACATTACGCTAAGTGAAATAAGCCAAACATGAAAGAAGAAATACTATGTGACATCACTTATATGAGCTTCCTAGAATAGTCATATTCTTAGAGGCAAAAATGAATTAATGGTTACCAGGAACTAAAAGAAGGCATGAATAGGGAATTATTTTTTAATGGATAAATGTACAGTTTGGTACGATGCAGAAGTTCTGGAGATGGATAGTGATAATGAGGCCCAACAATGTGAATGTACATAATGTCACTGAAACGTACACCCCAAAATAGTCAAAATTGTAAATTTTACATATATTTTATCACAATTTTTAAAAATTGAGTGATAAAAAGTATCAAACAAAAAAATTCGAGTTTACACATAGTTAAATCTTTGTCAGGAAGACTAATTTAATATGTTTGGTTTAATGAAAACAGCTTTCTTTTTTCTGAGACATTAGCATTAAGTTTACTAAATAGTAGCACACATTTTTAATTGATTTGAATATTTTTTCCTAAATTTTTTCAAGTATACTAATTAAATAAGCTAATATTATTTCTATTTAAAGTTTAAGATTATACAAAATATAAATTCATGTTTAGCCAAAGAATCATGATTGTGATGAATTTTATTTCAGTAATGTTTTGTAGTATGTTATCTTTAAACACATTTTCTAACATCATTCGGTAAGTTTAAATCTCAGGTTGATACTAAATGGAACTAATTAATGGATATTCAACAGATAACTACCTCATTTCTAAGTGTGATATAATACTGAAACATTACTTAGTAAGTAGAGATATAAAGTTTATATACCTTTGCTTCTTTATATGTGATGGAGAGACTATAATTTCTGTTGTTATTAAATGTGTTCTTTTTTCTGCTTTGAGAAATTGTACTATGAGGATTATATTTTTATTAAGAAAAAAATGAGGGTTTTTTTCTAGAGATTTACTTGTTTCAAAATGATAAAAAGGAAATTATAGGATCTAAATGGAAACAGAAATTGTAGAAAGCTTGGAGAAGGGACATTTTATTAGCTGTAACCAAAGCTAGCTAAATTTTATACTTTTATTTACAAGATTTTTTAAAAAGTGCTTGTGCTTAGATTTTCTTGGATTATTGGCTTGGTCTTAAAAAGAGATTGTAAATGCTTATTCCTTATCTTATGTCTTAAAATAATAAAAATTTGGTCCTATTAGAATAACCATCTAAGGTTTATGTTTACTTTATTATGGCCTTGATTACTTAAAAAAAATCCAGATTTCTCACTTAGAGAATTAAGGTTATTTACCATCATATTGCCTCCTAGGTTAACTATAAAATCTTTTGCTGTTAAACAGGTTGTTAAGTATTTCTCAGTAGCCTATCATTCTATTTTAATCATGCGTTCAAATTTCTCAACAACTTTTAAAATTTTGCCTTTTCCTAATCAAATGTTAAATGGTATGTCTTGTACCTCAGCTGCTTAGCCATACCTTAGTTAAATTTGTATAAATAAAATGTTACTAATAGATAGACATTTAAAGTTACTCTAGATTTATTTAATTTCTTTATTTGATATTATTTATATATTTTTGGTTTGTTTTAAATAATTATTGATCTACTCATGGGTTCTTATGTGTCCTACAATTTTGTTAAATGTAAATTTTTTTCTCTAAAAATATTACGTTTAACATTTTTATAAATAAGATGCAATATATACTCACTTTTAAAAATAAAGACATCAGTACATACTGATATTTTGTCTTAAAATCGTGTTTGCTTTAACTTTATTCGTAGTATCTTGTTTTTTAAGCTTTAGAAACAAATTTTCATATTAGTTGCATTTTTATTGTAATGAACTTTCATTCGTTCTCTCTTTTGAAGTGTCATCTAATAACAACCACAATTATTGTAAGTTTTTGTCATCTACAAATAGTTTTCTGTTTTACTCTGATGCTAACCTGACAGAACCTGCAATCAGCTACAGGCCAAAATGTTTTGCCTTTAAAAAAAAAAACCGTCTCGGATCCTTTTGGAAGAGAATTATTCGGATACTATGGTATACTGGCTTCTGACGGCTTTACTTAACTTTGAGACCATATCAAACAGACCAAATCAGGATACCAAAAATCTTTATTCGAGAGGCAGTTGAGTTCATTAGAATAATAGCAAAAGTTTGAGTGAGCAATAATTAATTATAATAGTTAATTAATTACTGAATTAACCTATCGGGTATGATTATAGATTTTGTTTGTTATACTGTTGATGTTTTAATGTTTCATTGTCTAAATATACAAGAAGTTCTTTCCTGTATTTTCTTAAGCAATATGTAATTCATAAAATTTTAGTAGACCATGCTTTTAACAACTGAAATGAAACATTTGTAAATAATACATTTTTCTGCCTTTCTGACTCCTTTAACATGTGAATGTTCTCATTCAGTATTATTTTAATGGCAATAAAATTATTTACATAGTTTTAATAGGAACTTGCTCTCCTGTTTAGCAGATTATAATTGGAAATATTGATTGTGTAACCAAAAACTGTGCCTATCTTGTATTTACAATTGTTAGCACAGTATGGAATCCATACTCAGTATTCAACACATTTTTAAATCAATATATGGATAAATATGTAAATATTTACAATATTAATGTAGTATAATCCTCTAAAACATTCTTAACTCCCCCCTATACTTCATTCTTATAATATCCTTAGCTCAGCCAGGTGCAGAGGCTCACACCTGTAATCCCAGCACTTTGGGAGGCCAAGGCTGGCAGATGACTTGGGGTTGGGAGTTCGAGACCAGCCTGACCAGCATGGAGAAACTCATCTCTACTAAAAATACAAAATTAGCTAGGCGTTGTGGCACATGCCTGTAATTCCAGCTACTCAGGAGTCTACGGCAGGAGAATCGCTTGAACCCGGGAGACAGAGGTTGTAGTGAGCCGAGATCGTGCCATTGCACTCCAGCATGGGCAACAAGAGTGAAATTCCATCTCAAAAAAAAAAAAAAATCCCTAGCTCTCCCCCATACATCATTCTTCAACAAACCTGGATATGTGAAGAAAATGTCTTTTAGTACTAGATATTATACACATATAACAATACTTGCTTTATTTTATTTATTCTCTTTTTATATATCTAATCATATACACATATGATTAGTGAAGGAAAATCAACTTTTATCATAAACTGAAATCTATGTCTTGTTACAATATAATGTTTTAGAATAGGGAGTTATTATTTAGCTTTAGAGTTTATTATTTAGTTTTAGAATAGGGAGTAACTGAAGATCAGCCAACTTAAATAACGTATGTAGTATCACACAGCTAGCAGTGACAGCCTTGAACCACAAAATGGAAGTCCATGGTCCTTCCATCTATACATTATAAGGTAGGAAGAGCTGAATTACATGTGAATGGAATGAACAAAAGGAAAGTGATGGAGAAGCCTAAAGGGTGTATCACTAAGTTTATAAGTGAAGGAGAAATAAAATCCTTTACAGACAAGGAAATGCTGAGAGATTTTGTCACCACCAGGCCTGCCCTAAAAGAGCTCCTGAAGGAAGCACTAAACATGGAAGGGAACAACCAGTACCAGCCACTGCAAAATCATGCCAAATTGTAAAGACCATCGAGACTAGGAAGAAACTGCATCAACTAACGAGCAGAATAACCAGCTAACATCATAATGACAGGATCAAATTCACACATAACAATATTAACTTTAAATGTAAATGGACTAAATGCTCCAATTAAAAGATACAGACTGGCAAATTGGATAAAGAGTCAAGACCCATCAGTGTGCTGTATTCAGGAAACCCATCTCACGTGCAGAGACACATATAGGCTCAAAATAAAAGGATGGAGGAAGATCTACCAAGCAAATGGAAAACAAAAAAAGGCAGGGGTTGCAATCCTAGTCTCTGATAAAACAGACATTAAACCAACAAAGCTCAAAAGAGACGAAGAAGGCCATTACATAATGGTAAAGGGATCAATTCAACAAGAAGAGCTAACTAACCTAAAAATATATGCACCCAATACAGGAACACCCAGATTCATAAAGAAAGTCCTGAGTGACCTACAAAGAGACTTAGACTCCCACACAATAATAATGGGAGACTTTAACACTCCACTGCCAACATTAGACAGATCAACGAGACAGAAAGTTAACAAGGATACCCAGGAATTGAACTCAGCTCTGCACCAAGCAGACCTAATAGACATCTACAGAACTCTCCACCCCAAATCAACAGAATATACATTTTTTTCAGCACCACACCACACCTATTCCAAAATTGACCACACAGTTGGAAGTAAAGCTCTCCTCAGCAAATGTAAAAGAACAGAAATTATAACAAACTGTCTCTCAGACCACAGTGCAATCAAACTAGAACTCAGGATTAAGAAACTCACTCAAAACCGCTCAACTACATGGAAACTGAACAACCTGCTCCTGAATGACTACTGGGTACATAACGCAATGAAGGCAGAAATAAAGATGTTCTTTGAAACCAACAAGAACAAAGATACAACATACCAGAATCTCTGGGACGCATTCAAAGCAGTGTGTAGAGGGAAATTTATAGCACTAAATGCCCACAAGAGAAAGCAGGAAAGATCCAAAATTGACACCTAATGTCACAATTAAAAGAACTAGAAAGGCAAGAGCAAACACATTCAAAAGCTAGCAGAAGGCAAGAAATAACTAAAATCAGAGCAGAACTGAAGGAAATAGAGACAAAAAAAACCCTTCAAAAAATTAATGAATCCAGGATCTGGTTTTTTGAAAGGATCAACAAAATTGATAGACCACTAGCAAGACTAATAAAGAAGAAAAGAGAGAAGAATCAAATAGACGCAATAAAAAATGATAAAGGGGATATCACCACTGATCCCACAGAAATACAAACTACCATCAGAGAATACTACAAACACCTCTACACAAATAAACTAGAAAATGTACAAGAAATGGATAAATTCCTGGACACATACACCCTCCCAAGACTAAACCAGGAAGAAGTTGAATCTCTGAATAGACCAATAACAGGCTCTGAAATTGTGGCAATAATCAATAGCTTACCAACCAAAAAGAGTCCAGGACCAGAAGGATCCACAGCCGAATTCTACCAGAGGTACAAGGAGGAACTGGTACCATTCCTTCTGAAACTATTCCAATCAACAGAAAAAGAGGAAATCCTCCCTAACTCATTTTATGAGGCCAGCATCATCCTGATACCAAAGCCGGGCAGAGAAACAACCAATAAAGAGAATTTTAGACCAATATCCTTGATGAACATTGATGCAAAAATCCTCAATAAAATACTGGCAAACCGAATCCAGCAGCACATCAAAAAGCTTATCCACCATGATCAAGTGGGCTTCATCCCTGGGATGCAAGGCTGGTTCAATATACGCAAATCAATAAATGTAATCCAGCATATAAACCGAACCAAAGACAAAAACCACATGATTATCTCAATAGATGCAGAAAAGGCCTTTGACAAAATTCAACAACCCTTCATGCTAAAAACTCTCAATAAATTAAGTATTGATGGGACATATCTCAAAATAATAGGAGCTATCTATGACAACCCACAGCCAATATCATACTGAATGGGCAAAAACTGGAAGCATTCCCTTTGAAAACTGGCATAAGACAGCGATGCCCTCTCTCACCACTCCTATTCAACATAGTGTTGGAAGTTCTGGCCAGGGCAATTAGGCAGGAGAAGGAAATAAAGGGTATTCAATTAGGAAAAGAGGAAGTCAAATTGTCCCTGATTGCAGATGACATGATTGTATATCTAGAAAACCCCATTGTCTCAGCCCAAACTCTCCTTAAGCTGATAAGCAACTTCAGCAAAGTCTCAGGATACAAAATCAATGTACAAAAATCACAAGTATTCTTATACACCAATAACAGACAAACAGAGAGCCAAATCATGAGTGAACTCCCATTCACAATTGCTTCAAAGAGAATAAAATACCTAGGAATCCAACTTATAAGGGACGTGAAGGACCTCTTCAAGGAGAACTACAAACCACTGCTCAATGAAATAAAAGAGGATACAAAGAAATGGAAGAACATTCCATGCTCATGGGTAGGAAGAATCAATATCGTGAAAATGGCCATACTGCCCAAGGTAATTTATAGATTCAATGCCATCCCCATCAAGCTACCAATGACTTTCTTCACAGAATTGGAGAAAACTACTTTAAAGTTCATATGGAACCAAAAAAGAGCCCACATCGCCAAGTCAATCCTAAGCCAAAAGAACAAAGCTGGAGGCATCACACTACCTGACTTCAAACTATACTACAAGGCTACAGTAACCAAAACAGCCTGGTACTGGTACCAAAACAGACATATAGATCAATGGAACAGAACAGAGCCCTCAGAAATAACGCCGCATATCTACAACTATCTGATCTTTGACAAACCTGACAAAAACAAGAAATGGGGAAAGGATTCCCTATTTAATAAATGGTGCTGGGAAAACTGGCTAGCCATATGTAGAAAGCTGAAACTGGATCCCTTCTTTACACCTTATAAAAAAATTAATTCAAGATGGATTAAAGACTTAAACGTTAGACCTAAAACCATAAAAACTCTAGAAGAAAACCTAGGCATTACCATTCAGGACATAGGCATGGGCAAGGACTTCATGTCTAAAACACCAAAAGCAATGGCAACCAAAGACAAAATTGACAAATGGGATCTCATTAAACTAAAGAGCTTCTGCACAGCAAAAGAAACTACCATCAGAGTGAACAGGCAACCTACAGAATGGGAGAAAATTTTTGCTACCTACTCATCTGACAAAGGGCTAATATCCAGAATCTACAATGAACTCAAACAAATTTACAAGACAAAAACAAACAACCCCATCAAAAAGTGGGAGAAGGACATGAACAGACACTTCTCAAAAGAAGACATTTATGCAGCCAAAAAACACATGAAAAAATGCTCACCATCACTGGCCATCAGAGAAATGCAAATCAAAACCACAATGAGATACCATCTCACACCAGTTAGAATGGCAATCATTAAAAAGTCAGGAAACAAGAGGTGCTGGAGAGGATGTGGAGAAATAGGAACACTTTGACACTGTTGGTGGGACTGTAAACTAGTTCAACCATTGTGGAAGTCAGTGTGGTGATTCCTCAGGGATCTAGAACTAGAAATACCATTTGACCCAGCCATCCCATTACTGGGTATATACCCAAAGGACTCTAAATCATGCTGCTATAAAGACACATGCACACGTATGTTTATTGCAGCACTATTCACAATAGCAAAGACTTGGAACCAACTCAAATGTCCAACAATGATAGACTGGATTAAGAAAATGTGGCACATATACACCATGGAATACTATGAAGCCATAAAAAATGATGAGTTCATGTCCTTTGTAGGCACATGGATGAAATTGGAAATCAACATTCTCAGTAAACTATTGCAAGGACAAAAAAACAAACACCACATGTTCTCACTCATAGGTGGGAATTGAACAATGAGAACACATGGAAACAGGAAGGGGAACATCACACTCTGCGGACTGTTGTGGGGTGGGGGGAGGGAGGTGGGATAGCATTAGGAGACATACCTAATGCTAAATGACGCGTTAATGGGTGCAGCACACCAGCATGACACATGTATACGTATGTAACTAACCTGCACATTGTGTACATGTATCCTAAAACTTAAAGTATAATAATAATAAAAAAATCAGTTAATGAATATTAAGTAAAAATCAACTTTCTCTGTAGGTCAATTAGTTTATTGTATTTTAATTTGATCTGTTTTGGATTAGAGCATAAATAGGCCTCAATTTAGATGGCATATTCTGTGATAAAAAATATTGCTTTGCTATGCCTGTGTGTGAATGTGAGAATGTCTTCTTGAGTGTGTTTGAGAGTATGAAAAAGTAAAGACAAGGCCAGGAAGGAGCACAGAAAAACTACAGAGAGAAGAATTAAAAATATCTTTATACTGGTATTTCTTCCTTTTGTTCCAGTCTTTGGATGCTTCAAGCTTTCTTCATTAAGAAATAATGTAGATAACAAATTCAAATGAATTCCAGTACAGACGTGCCACTCGGTGTCTTTAAATTCTTATGTATTATGGAATTTCCTTAACAAAAAGTACTAATTATACTGAAAATACAAGTAATTTTACAAAAAATTGAAGATTTATATGTTAATTAAAAATAGGATTTCTATGTAATAAATACATTTCTAAAAGTAGAGATTTACATATTATGATGAAGTCAGCTACATTTAAAAATTGTGTGTATTGTACTCCCTAAGCCTCTGTATGCCCATAACAAGAATATGTTCTCTGTGCATCAGTTTTATCCCAGCAGAAAATGATAATATACAGTATACAACTAACCTAATGGGTTTGAAGTGAATATTAGTTGCCTGAAATGCAGGTAAAAGTTACTTCCACCATACAGCGAAATCACCAAAGAAGTAATATTGAATTGCACATGATAAATCCTAACACTCTCTAAACTACTGGCTGAAAAGCACCAAATATGAGTTTTCTCAGTATGTTGAGTATTCTGGCGTGGAGGCGTAATCAAGAGGGGGAATATGAAAACATAAAACATTTTAAACGTAAAAAATAATAGATGGAGCCAAAAGAGAGTCTATGTGTTTTAGGCAGTTAGTTGGGGAAGACATTTTAATAAATATAAAAAGAGCAGGAAGGTTAGAGAAAAAAATTTATTACCTACCTGAGTATCCTTTAAAAGCAGAACACAATGACATAGGGAGAAATTGAATTCTTAAGCTCATAATTATCAAAGAGATAACAAATATATATAACTAGAAGAGAAATATACAAATTTGGGGATTGATTTTAACCATATATGAGAGCTTTTGTGATTAACATGTTGATTCAAGAAAGATTAAAAGTAAAAATTAAATATTTTATTTATCTATGTATTTACTTATTTATATTTCACATGTAATTCAAGAACATTGAAGAAAATAAACAGTATAGATACACAATAAATAAATAGTGAGAAATAAATAGGAAGAAATGCATAGAGTTGGGTGGAAGTGGTGATGGTAGTGCTTGTGCATGTGCATGTACGCACCTTATAATTGATATCATGCTGTATATATTCTCCAATGAATTGTTTATTCAATATAAATAAAAGTGAAAAGTGTCTAAGACAGTATTCTGAAAGTATTTACTGACTTTTTTAGTTTTCTACAATTTATTTTCTGAATTCCCTGTTTTTTAGGGGTTTATATTTTCAAAAAATGTGAAAGGACAGATATGAAAGAAAGAAAGGAAAGTTGAGGACAGGTATCGTAAGGGATAATGTCAAGGGCATTTTTCAGGTGCACTTCAAAGCCAGTTAAAACTTAGGTTGCATTCTTACTTTACCACTTCTTAGTACGGCCTTTAATACGTTACTTCACCTTTTCAGCTTTAGTTTCTTACTTGTAAAATCTGAATAGTGGAATCTATTTAATGGAGAATATGAGAATTAAAATTTAATTATCAGTATAATGCCTGTCACAGAATAAACAATTGATGTTTAGAAATTATTATTATAAAATGCTGAGGAACTTAGTGCTTACACAATTGCATGAATGATAATTCACAGATTTTCCTGGATGAACTAAAACATATAACTGCAAATATAGGAGGTGATTACTGAAATTATTCACGTCTTAAACAATAAGCAATGCAAATATTTCTATGCTTATAATTTGTACTTATATTTTTTCTGCATTTAGTGACAAACAGGCCTATTCAGAGGCAAACATGCTGCTGCATTTTAATCGGATCACAGTGTAAATGTGTTATGTCTTCTCCCTTCATCAGTATATAGTTGAGATTGTCCATATCATTACTTCTTAATATATGCATGTTAAATTGATGCACAGACTTACCTTTTTTTTAAGGCAGGGTCTCACTCTGTTGCGCAGGCTGGAGTGCAGTGGCACCATCATGGCTCACTGCAGCCTTGACCTCCCAGGTTCAAGTGAACCTCCCACTTCAGCCTCCCCAGTAGCTGGGACCACAGATGTGCATGACTATTTCCAGCTAATTTTTGTATTTTTTGTAGTGACAGAGTTTTGGCATGTTGCCTAGGCTGGTCTCAAAATCCTGGGCTCAAACTATCCGCCTGCCTCAGCCTTCCAAAGTGCTGGGATTATAGGCATAAGCCACCATGTCCAGCTCCAGGATGCATAGACTTTTATATTATCAATGTGTTAAAGCTTAATTAACTTTTTCTCTTTTGATAGAAATTAAGGTTGTTTCAAAAATTTGTTTTTGTAGTAATCAGTCTTTTATGTTTTCCTTTATGCATATATATTAGTTCAGCTAGAAAAGATTGCTTCTTTGAGTTTATAGACTTTTAAAATTTTGGGAAAAATAGAGAAATCTACATCCAAAACCCAATACACTTATAAATTCAGAAGCCTGCTATTGTAAGAGTCTGTCTTTACTCCACACATCTACACATTCTCCAGCTCTAGATATCAACAATCTTTTGCATGTTTTCTAACCTAGGAGAGAGAATAAAGCTTTATTTTTTCAAGTTTATATTCCCAGCTACTACCAAAACTGCTCATTTTACATGCTTAACTAATAATTTGCATTTATTGTGTCTGTATGTGTTTATGAATGTGTATGTGTCACATTTTTCTTTGTATGTTTTTCCTTATTTTTCTATTGCTAATTTTATTTTCTTATTAATTTTAAAAGCTATTTGGTTACATATGCTGAAAATACTATTAATCCAGTCATTCACTTGCCTTTTTACTTGATTTAGAGAACTTTTTGCTTTACTTGAGTTTAGTATTATACGTAATTAAACATGCAGCCTTTCCTTTATGAATCATAAAATATTATCTTGCTTAACAAGATTTGTGACACTCAAAATGATTTCTAAGTATTCTCCTGATTTTTGATAATTATTTTAACGTGTTTTAAAACATTTGCATAAGAAATACATTTAGTTACATTTGAGTATAATGTAGGTCGGGACTTTAATTTTTCGAAATTGATTCCAAGTCAGCAAGCAAGTATTGTCTAACTTGTCTATCCTTCTCTAGCTTGAAATATAAAATATCATAAGCCAACTTTACTTTATGGGTCTATTTTTGGATCTACTTGTTCACTGGTATGTCTATATATCCCTAAAACAATACCATTGTATTTTAATTGTGATAAATTTAGAGTTTCGATATCAGGTAGGATAATCACTATTACTATTTTTTAAAGTAGTTTGCCAATAATATATCACAGTAGAATTTTTAAATCAACTTTTAAAATCACGTAGAAGTCATAACGTAATGCTTAAAATATTTATTCTTCAAAAATAGGCCTAGCTTGGTGGCAGGAGCCTGTAGTTCCAGCTACTCAGGAGGCTGAGGTGGGAGGATTGCTCCAGCCCAGGAGTTAGAGGCTGTAGTGCATTACGATTGCACCTGTGAATAGCCACTGCACTCCAGCCTGGGCAACATAGGGAGAACTAGTCTGTAACAAGAGGAAAAAAATAAAATAAAGATGGACTGTGTTAGTGTTTCTTACACCACAAAGAACCTATTTGACTATCATCCTACCCCGAAGATGCTTTAATATTGATAAATCAGAATTTATTTATTTGCAAGTATACATTTCTAGAACTATGCAGTCACTTCATAATTTTCATTATTCAAATGTAATGAAAACTGTTTTGAAAAGTGTGTATTTTATTTCCCAGGAGTGAGCATTTTACAATTGTAAAATGAAGTAATTTTTTAAAATAAAGTTTTATCTTAATTGTTTGCCAGGAAGGTTATATGTATTTCTACAAAGACTCTGTCATAATATAGTATGTCAACATTTTAAGAAGAAATGTTGCTGGTGTTATTAAATTATATTTAATTAATTACATTTCTGGTTGAGTTCTATTTATTTTATATCTGCTAAAAAAAGATTGTGCAATATTTCATTTGTAACCTAAGTCACATATGAATTCAGTCTGAGACATAGATAGAAGTATTATTTCTGACATTGGAATCAGAAAAGGGTAACAGACAATAACATGGCTGATTACTAAAGTAGAAGATGTAAATTCTGCTACATTTCTATGCATTAAAAGCCTCAGAATCCCTGAATTTTAATATAAAATACAATGAAGTGTATCAAATGAGATTCTCCTATCTTGCCTAGTAATAATGTGGTTAAATCACAATGTGAACACTTTAAAGGGCAAAAAAAAATGGCTTTAAAAAAACCTTTGCCTCACTAAGTTTTGAGAATATCTCATTTTATTTCAAAATCTTATTGAACTTTTCTACATTTTGTTCCATGACTGACTTTTACAATATTAGTGTCTTGGTTGTCATCTCACCTAAAGAACAAGAGACAAGAATGGTGAATGATTCGATGGCAAGATATAATCTCATAATTGGATATGATGAAACTAAAGATGCAGAAGTGCATTAAAAAAAACAGATCATGTATTTCAACTATGACAGGGTGTCTGCTTAACCATGCCCTATTCATAGTGACGAACAGTAGTGGCATTCAAATAGCATAAGCTTTTAAAAATACAAAACCATAGCCTATTATTTGCCTCTGAAGGGAATTCAGCTTAAAATGAAGCTCCAGTTTCTCTAATAAATGGTAAAATTCATATATTATTGTGCCTGTGAGACCTAGCTTGATTAAGACATAAAATTTCACTAGACAGTTTTTAGCATTAAGAAAAGAAGGCAGAGTATCCTTATTTTTTCAAGCATTCAAACTCATGTCCCCTATAACTCCACTGTATATGAAGAATGCATGAAAACCTTATTTTATATAAGTATAATCAAATTATCAAGAGAAAACATAGTTTAGTAGTTAATAGCATGACCTTCAGAGATAGATGTCCTGTATTCAACTCCTTGCTCTAATGCTTACAACCTGTGTGACTCTGGATATGTTGCTGAACCTCTCTGGGGCTCAGTTTCATCAACACTAGAATAGAGGAAATAAGAATACCTCTGTCATAGGATTGTTATAATAATTATCTTAATATTTTTAAAAAACAAGACAAATGTTTATTTTGTGAGGTGGAAGTACGTTAGAGTATTTTAATGGGAGGGGAGATACGATTTAATTTTTATTTTAAAATATTTCAGGCTGGGCACGATGGCTCACGCCTGTAATTCCGGCATTTTGGGAGGCCAAAGCAGGGGGATCACAAGGTCAGGAGATTGAGGACAGCTTGGCCAACATGGTGAAACCCTGTCTCTACTAAAAATACAAAAATTATCTGGGCATGGTGGCACGTGCCTGTAGTCCTAGCAACTTGGGAGGCTGAGGCAGGAGAATTGCTCGAACCTGGGAGGCAGGAGGCAGAGGTTTCAGTGAGCCAAGATTGCACCACTACACTCCAGCCTGGGCAAAAAGAGCAAAACTCCATGCCAAAAAAAAATTCAATTGCTGCTAAATATGTGGAGGGCATTATGAGATTGGGGAAATTAGTGTAAAATGGAATAAATTACATGGTTATGGTGGTTATCCAAATTTTAAAAGTTGGCATTTTGACCAAGATTAGCAGGAAATACAGGGATATATTTTACAGACAGAGTCAACAGAATTTTCTGCAAGATGGGTATATACTAAAGAGTTATTTTACAGTGAAATGGAACAGCTTTGTGGTCATCTCTGGGGACATTGGATGTCTGATTTTGACATTTGGCAAAGATAAAGACAACTAATGGAATAACTAGTGGATGATTTATGATGTGCTTTTTGTAGTCTGATATTCTCTGGGAACACCCAGGCCTGAGTGGCTTTCACCTGACTGACTGGTTCGACAGTCTAGTTTGGCTATATCAACAATGAGAAAGAAAAGATCCTACTGGGAAATCCTGCCTTTAACTATTTTGAAATCATAATTTGTCATATAAATCTTGCCAGTTCAATCTAGAGAAAAAGAGTATCCTTGTGAGAATAAGACCCTAGGGAGTTTGTGCTTGGATATCCCTCAGGCCCCCAGTGTTTGCCTGCAGTCTCTTTGTCATCATTAAAGTCTTATGGAAGTATGCTTGTGGGCTCTTTCAATATCCAGACCTCTTCAATCTTTGCAATGGGATTTGGGGATTAAGTGAAAAAGAAGATCCTAGGCTGTTGACTGAAGAAACTAGCTAAACTGAATGCTATATGCAGAGAAGTGGTCACTGCTAAGGTAGAGTTTTATAGCAAAAGCTAATTTTGTGTATGTGAAGTTTGACATGCTCATTAATTGGGGCATATTAAGTGGTGATATCATGTAAATAGCCTGGAATTCAAAGAATAGATTGGGCTTAAAAATATAATTTTTTTTTACATAATGTTACTCATGTCATTTAAAACCATGAATGGAATGGCATGAGGAGAGTTACAGTGAGAATTAGATGTCGATCAAAGGAGAAGGAGCTAGAAAAGAACAAAAGGAAGATGGAGTTACTGAAGTATTAGGGAAAACTAGGGGTGCATTGTAATAAAAGCCAAAATTAAGAGAGTATTTTAAGAATATAAAATAATCAACTGTGTTAAATTTTTCTGAAAATATCAGTAAGATAAAAAATCAAATACTATTAGATTTGGTCACATGGTCACACTGATGATTTTTAGAATAGTCATTTAAGTGGAAATGTGAGAGAGCGGTCTAATTTAAGTGGGTTGAGACAAAGTCTTGATGTTTGCACTTTTTGAAAATTCTTTCTAGAGATTTTTTTTTCATGTAGTAAAGCAAAGAAATGGGGGCAGCAGTTATTTACTCAGAATGGTAAAGGCGATTATTTTACTTTTCTTTAAAATAGAAGGTAGTATAGTATGTGGGTATCATATGGAAGCAATCCAGTGGAGAGTAGTAAATGAATGACATGGATGAAGGAAAAAAGAATTGCAGAAGAGGTGTCCTTGAGAAGACAAGAAAACAAGATCCAAAGCACAAAGGAAGAGATTAAACATTAATAGAAGTAAGACTGGATCATTCACAGGAGATTATAGGTATTGGTAAAGGAAAGTCTATAGATAAGAGTATAAACATGAGATAGGAAAATGAAGAAATATTAGGTTTATTTATATTTTCTCAATGAAGCATGAACAAGTTCACAAATTGAAAATGAAAGTATAAAGAAAAGTAGCAAACGGATTAAGAAGAAAAAGGAAAGCATGAGATATTTATGTGGGAAAGAAGGGACTCACATCTGTAATGGTAGAGTCATATTACTGCTCTGCAGCCTTATTTTGTTATTTGAGTCTCATGCTGTTGAGTTAAGCAGGGTTTACGTTCTTGATATTCAGATCAATATTTTCCCCAGCAGATAAAAATTCTATCTACTTCCCTTGCTACCAAGATGACTCTCATTCTGGAGATGAAGACAAATCTGTAAGATTATTTAAAACTCAGCACAGTTTTCTCTGCGTTGAAATTTTCATATGGTAAATATAAGGAAAATTTTTATATCATTCATTACAATCATCATTTGAATTATCTTCAAAATATGTGCATTTACACATATACCTATATATACATATGTGTGTGTATTTTGCCTTAATCATTTGCCTAAAATATTGTTCTGGGATCAACATGCTTACTTATTTCAATTTCTAAATTTTCCTGAATTCCTCATAAGACATTTTGAAATAATAGGAAGACAGATATTGCTTTTACCCTGTTTGATTTTTTCTGAACATATTACGTTCTTGCAAGCCACATAATATTTCAATTAAACTAGTGTTTCACTGATGCATACTCTATTGTAATTGCTATTTCTGTGAGTATGCCTTTATATATTTTCATCCAAAAGATGTTCTGTTGAGATTCTAAGCATGTAAAAGTACTGCACTCTGTCTATTTACTCAGCTTTGTACATATCCCTAACATCTCTGGAGATATTTGCCACTAATGCAAGTGGGTGTTTATATACTAAGTGTTTGTTTATTCACGGCAGTTCCAAAGTGTTTGGAAAGTGATAATAAAAATCAATAATCCTGTGGTCATTGGAATGCTCTCCAAATTTCAATTTTAGTTGTATTTATATTCTCAACATTCCATGAACACTCACAGTAGTTTAACCGCTGTTTCCTTTAAGTAACCTAGAAATTCTGTTGCCACAACAACTGCACTTAAAACAGCTGCATAAGTGAGAAAGTGGCCCTCTGGTTATTGTGAATTGAAGATTACAGTCATTCCTATATTCATTCTCACTGATAAAATACACACACACACACACACACACACTCCATGCATTTAAATATGCCGTGATGCACACTTCCTTTCTTTTTGTCGTGATATATTAGCTTTAGAAACACACCACTTAAACAATAAATACAAGTTTTTTGTCTGAAGTCATTATTTTAAAAATGGCCTATTATGAAATAAATTGATATATTTATGAATTAATCTTCTTTCATTGTTGTCTTAGCAAAGAAAAGTTCTTCAATTATCCAATCACTCATATTAGTTTCCTGTAGCTGTCAGAATAAATGACCTCAACCTTGGCTGAAAACAGAAATGTATTCTCTCCCAGTTCTGGAGGCATGAAGTCTGAAATCAAGGTATCAGCAGGTTCACATTGCCTCCAAAGGCTCCACTGGAGATCAGTTTCTTGTCTCTTCCAGCTTCTCGTGACTGCTAGCATTCCTTGTCTTGTGGCTTTATAACTTCAATCTCTGCTTTTATGGTCACATTGTCTCCTTCTATTCTCTTCGTCATCTCTCCCTCTGCCTCACTCTTCTAAGGACACTTATTGAATTGTGGGGCCACCAAGATAATCTAGGAAAAGCCCCTCCTCTCAAGATCCTTAATTTGGTCACACATTTTGCTATATAAGGTTTTAGTCACATATTCCAGGGATTAAGGTGTAAACATAACTTCTTAGGAATGACTATTAAGCCTTCTACACTCATTATCATTAGTGGAGGATAGATTTTGATGCTAAATTTATTATATACTCTAAGTTTTAATGAGAATAAAGCATTAGGTAGTGGACAGTGAAACTCAGAGGGAAGATCTCCTAATGACTTGGTAACACATGAACACTAGGCAAGATGGCAACATGTACCAGACGAGGAGGAGTTGGTGGTTCTCCCTGTGCACCCATTACCCATCTCCTCTCTTCATGGCTGCGTTCTTCAGTGTGTTCATCTTACTAGCAAATACGATAAACAAGAATTGAACATACGACTACTCTATAAAATTTTAAAATATTCCAGTCTTACAGTAAGATTAGAATAAAGTGTCACTCTGGTTTAAAAAAATCTGAATAACACATTTAATTAATAAAGAAAAACTTTGACACCACCATACATAGTGAATAAACTCATAAATGGTCATTTCTTTGTATATAAATTATAGAAACATTACAAATTAATACACCAGAAGCTGCGCTTTTATGATCACTAACATTCCAGTTTACCAGTATTTTCTGTATCATGAATTCTGGCTGGGAGACAGGTGACAATAGGAAGAAATAGATAGAAACAAAAGAAAAATAAAATATCAAATGTGATAATAGCTGATATTTATTGGACATTTACTACTGACAAATATAGAATAAAATATTAGTGTAAGATTTTATAGTAGTAACTGACTTTTTCTTCATATTATTTCATTTTTGTTGATTTTGGAGATGAAGAAACTGAGGCACAGAACATTTAAGTGTAACTTAAAATTACAGAGCACAATGCTAAGAAGGGTCATTTAGAAATCAAACTCAGGTAGTCTGCTTAAAATGTCTAAACACTTATTTTCTATGCCTACTAATTCTCAATAAAGTATTATCTTGTAAAATGATTGCCTTTATTTAAATCTTTAATTTTCATTTTATTTTATGATAAACAGAAAGTTTGTTCTACCTTTGAGGTGATGCAAGTCACTTATGAACTCTGTCCTCTTAGAGTTGCAATGAAGAGTCTCTTATCTAACCAGAAGTTCCTTTCTCAACTGTGCAAAGAGAGGCCTTTGAGTCAATCTTGCTCGTTATGTTGTTTTGTCAGGAAAATAATTTTCATTGTTAAGGTCTGGAGCTCCAAACAATTTCAAATAAAGAATAAAATTGAGTCACTCAATATTCAAAATTATCACAGCTTCCAATTATTGATTCTCTAGTCACACATCAAGTCACATATATTGTATTTAACTCTCACGAGAATTATAGAGATGAGAAAGTTGAGATTCAGAGATTTTGGACTTGATGAAGCTCATTCAACTAGTAAATAGATCAGCTGGGACTTGGATCAATCTTGGGCTGAATCCAATGTTTGTGACTTTTCTACTAGGACAAATTGCGTTTGACAGTATTTTAAATAGAGGCCAGTTTAACCGGCAAACACTTCCAAAAGTGTGTTAATTTCACATAAGTTTTAGCTAAGAAACTAGAAAATTTGGCTTAATGTATAATATAGTGACTATAATGGTAATTATGAGGGGAAAGAAAATACATTCATGCATCTTTAGGCTGAAATTTCTCAATCAGTTCTAAATTCATAACCATATCATCTCTTAAAAACAAATAAAAAAGTTTATGTCTTACTCAGGCCATCCCCTCCAGAACAAACTCAATAAAAAATTAACCTAGCTGTTCCCATAGTTTGCAGGTACAACTGGGACAATAAAACATAAACCTCAAGGACTTGGTGTTTTTAAAGGTGCTTCCAACTTCACTGGCATCTGTCACTTTTTTTTCAATAGAAGTTGGTGATGGATCAAATAAAAACAACAGAAACTATACTGTATCTAAAAATTTCTACTTTATTTCTTTTTGAAATGAAAACTGTAGAGCTTCACATCACACTCTTCTTGAGAATATAAACAGTTTAGCAGTGCAATTGAAAGTGCTTTTTATAATTATAAATCCAATCATTGACACTTTACTCCAAATCATTTGTCTCCTTTCCCCAAGGAAAGAAGACAATCCTTTTCCCCAAATTCTTATTTAAGTATCAACATACCTAAAAACATACCTATTTCCCCAATCCATCCCCCACATTCTTATTTAAGTATCAGCATACCTAAAAAGCCCCAGATACCTTCAATAACTGTAATTATTATCCTTAGCTTACACATGCAAAATAAATAAAAAAACCCATACTTCAAAACCACCTGTTGTTTTGAATACAGGATAAATACATACAATTTTATCTGCCAATTAAGAATAGAATAAAATAATTAAACCTGAAAAAAAAAACAAAAAAAGAATCTCAGCTTACATAAATGGGCCTCAGAATGCCAAGGAGATGAAAACTGTTCTTCGGTTCATAATGTTAGTAATGCTGATTTGTAAATATGATAAACACACATTTCCTGTAACCTAGCTATTCAGAACCTGGTGTATTCCTATATTCTGGCTACTGGTTTTCTTGATGCAGTCTTACAGGGGCAAAGCCATCACTCACAAGGGTAGAAATTAGAGGACATGGATAGCTGTATATTTTCAAGTCTATAGGATATCAGGATTTTGACTCTAAGGTTATAATTATAGATTATGTCATAGGAAAACTTTATTAACTCCTTTAGATAACAACTTCAGAAGGCAAATAGCAAATGTGAATCATTCTTGCTCCTTTCAATAATCTAACATATATTTATTGTATTTTATCAAAGCCATAACCAACAATATATCTAATATCATTAGAACTTATCAGGACCTTCTCTAACAACTCTTGAAGTCAGAAAGTAGAAAATGGAAAAAGTCTAGTCTTTGTTGTCAAATTCCAGTTACCATTTAGCAGCTATGTTTTAATGGACATAGTAAGAATAATTTCTTTAAGCTTCATGTCTTTTTTTCCACACAAAGTAAAGATAGTAGTAATTACTCAATGAAATCATTTTAATATACCAAATTAGCACATAAAAATTGACATAGAGTAAGTATGCAACAAATGATAACTCTTCCTATGTTCTACATTTATACTATGTGGTTCTAAGGTTTGACTCAAAATTTTGATTTCTCAAGATTTAGATGGTTTCCTCCAAGCAAACTATAACATACAAAGATTTGGTGAGTGTGTCCATGATACTCTTATTTTTATAATTTAATACCTGATATACATAAATCTTCTTCACCTTAGTATCCATATTTCCAGTGTGGAACATCATAGAATGTTTAGTCTGACATCCTTCTACTCTGGTGTCAGCATCTCGAAATGACACTCTGGTTTTGTTGTTGTTGTTGTTGTTGTTGTTTTGTTATTTTATTTTTAGGCCACAAAAAAACCCAAAAATAAAATAAATGGGCTCCTAGATTCCAAATTAAATTATTACATGCTTTATGCAGAATACTTAAAGAGATCTTTAAAACCAGTTTGCAATTCTTAATCCATCGACAATTTGATGGTGCAAGAGTTTAGATTATTGGAAGCTGGAGCGTTTCTTTGAAGAGAGTGTGCTATTTTTAAAAACATTCTTCCATCTCAGGTTGGAGAGGGTTGCTGAGTAGTGACTCTTCATTTTAGGTTTTGAAGATATTGTATGTGTCCTGGATCATATGTGAAACTATGAGCTAGTGGCTAACTCTCCTGAAAAAAAGTGAAAAAGTAAAGGGTGAGATGCTTATGGAATGAGCCTGTTGCAACAGGATAGATGGTTACATTTGCAAATTACCTGCTCTACCTTGGATAGGAGGTCAATGTTATGTGATTATCCAGAACTGGTTGAAGTACCTGATGCTTATCTGCAATGCCAATATCAGCCTATAGTTGCTTTAAAAGGGACAACTGTGATCTGGATGGTATCAATGGTATCAGAGGGTGATGGTACCCACACCCAAAAAGGCTTGAGTACATCAATAACTAAAGAATTTGAGGGGCAATATTAAGAAGCCAGTTCAAGAAGAAACACTACTTAAGCCAAAAGACACACTTGCTACACTCCCATAATTGCAAGAAGCACCCAAGAAAACCTGAGAGATAAAATGAGCTTTAATTAGAATTATCCAGAGTAAAACAACACTGAATTACCTATGTGCTAGTCAAGTAAGAGTTTCCCTGCCCTACTCCTTCCTTACTCCAACCTTGCCCCCAAAAAGGCAGTATAGTGAATGGGGAAGAAAGGATAAAAACATAAGAATAGCAAACTTAAAAAGTACCAAAATTTCCTTTTATCCAGAGTTGGTCAGCCTTTGGTAGGGAAAAGTTGAGAAGGGATTTTACTTTTTCCAACTTTGAAAAAACTTTAGGATTTTTGTGTATCCTGCTTAGACAAGTCCTGTAGCACTTGAGCTCTCCCTCTCTAGCCACTGTCACCAGTTGGCGATGAACAACATCTATCTGTCTAGTATTGGAGGCTTGTCTGCTGCTATAGCAATGTCTTTGTTACATAGGAGTGCAAAGTCATAGCTCTTTTAATTCACTTTGCATACGTAAACACGACTGAATGGAATATGAACTTTAAGTTAGAGTGGCAGAGTCCAGAAAGGTTTCCAGTCTAGCTGCTCCATCACAAACACATAGCTCCTTTGGGTGTGTTGACGTTAATTTACCAACCCATTTCCCTCTTTCCATGACTTCTGTTTTCAAATTTTGATTAGTGTAAACTTGTCCCAATCAGATAGGTAATGATGATAATTTCCTCAAAGGATATCTAAGAATTCTCATTAACAACCCATAGCCTCACACTAAGATCTTAAAATAAGGATCCAAGACCGAGAAAGCCTTCAAACCCCAATGTTCTGTCAAGCACTTTTCCTAGTCAATGGGAATTGTATTTTCCCATTAGGAAGGGCAAATAACCTGCTCTTCCTCACTTATGAGAGTAGAAGTAGGGGGTATATTTATGTACATTTTCTTCATTTAGCATCCTGTTACTAAAAACCACTAAATATTTCAATAGAAAAAGAGGAGAACATTTTTTTCAGAAGGACTTCTAACATATGTATATAGCCTGCATTCAAAGTGGTTAACCAGCGGGCGCGGTGGCTCACGCCTGTAATCCCAGCACTTTGGGAGGCCAAGACAGGCAGATCACCTGAGGTCAGGAGTTCAAGACCATCCTGGTCAATATGGTGAAACCCCGTCTCTACTAAAAATACAAAAATTAACCGGGCGTGGTGGCACACACCTGTAATCACAGCTACTTGCGAGGCTGAGGAAGGAGAATTGCTGGAACCCAGGAGGTGGAGGTTGCAGTAAGCTGAGATTGGGCCACTGCACTCCAGCCTGGGTGACAGAGCCAGACTTCGTCTCGAAAAAAGAAAAAAAAAAGGAAGCTTAACCATTTAAATTCTAACTGTCCAAATACAGTTCTCTCTTGCTCTCTTTAGGAAGCCTCTGCTTCAGCAGACATTAAATACAGGTGCTTTTCACCTTATTGTAAAACATCGTGAACAGTAAACATGCTTTTGTGTCTATATTATTTTATCATACATTCTTTTTAATTATCCTTCTCCAAATAGCCATTTTGCTGAGTCTTGTTTACCTTTTTAAAACGATGTTTTACATTCCTAATAATGCATGCTAATCCCATTAAATTCAATGTAGTAAATACGGCATAACGATATTGTGATGCATAAGCCCAGTTACAGTTAAGACATTAACTCTTGCAGATTGCTTGCTTGTAGTGCTTTAAAATATCTGCAACATTCAGCAAATTTGCTAGTACAATATAATTTGTTAATAAGCCTTCCATATTGAAAGAAAAAATAGGGTATTATAATTTTGAATATCACCCATTTACCATACAAAGGATTTTTTAAAAACACCTACTTTCCAAATACAGATTATTTTTATTTAAAAATGTGTTTTCTTGCACCATATACTTAATAACTATTAAAAGACATTTGCATTGTCAATAGATGGCAGCATAGCTCTTTAAGAGTTCATGGGGAACTACTTAACAGTTTAAGATCATAGCCATTAGCCATGCTAAAAATGGTAATCTTAATAAAGCTTTCTCATTGAACTTTTCTTAATACTTCATTGCATTGATGCCACATATTTCCAAAAAGAAAACTGAAAAGAATATGTAAACTGTAAATATTTTATGGTTCAGTTTTAGTTTTTTTTTTTTATTTAAGGTTATATAATTTTGGTGTTGGGGGCTGTCAGGTGAAGGAAAACACTGTTGACACATTAATGTATGAATCTTTCACTTTACTATTAGACTTTGAAGTATTAATTTGACATATAATATGTGAAGTTTTAATAATTTATCAATAATGTCTCAATTTAAAGAACACTTTTAACCAACATTTTAATAAATTGTTATAAAGAAAAAAATATTTGACCATCAATCTCTCTTTTCTAGAAATATAAAGATTTAATTCATGAGAGTAGAATCTCTTTAAACACTTTAGTGAATCTGCCTTCGGGGAAGATCCTAAAGAAAGCAAGACATACTTTCAAATCTCTTCCATAAAATCACACATGGATCAGATAACTCTTTGGGAAAAATAGTGTTCTTTCTGGACTATTTGAATTCTATTTAGATGGTCTGAGATGCCTCTAAAGTTGAAGTTGGTAGAGCTACAATATTCCTACAGAAATAAATGCTGGCCATAAAGATATAATGTGCTGACAGACATAAAAAGAGAAATCCAGGAGGCACAGTAATTTGTCTTAATTGACAAAGGTTTCTGCCCAGGAGCTATCACTATAAAATATAAAAGAGCATCAATCACATAGTGCAAATAAGCAGGTTATAGCCTTACGGTTAGTTTTAATAATTCTGAGCAATTCAAATTATAGCATTGCTTTATTAATATTACTAAAGTAATCTTTGTCAGTATTAAAGACTCCTGAAATTTTTCTAATTTTTTGTTTTCTTACACTTTCTTATTCTTCAAACAGAGAAAAACCCAAATTTATGAGCTCTGTTCTGTTTCACTAAGTCTGTGACAGAGATTTTCCTACAGCATGTATTCACATCTGTATGTAATGTGTGCAAGGGGGAAAAACACTTTTTTCTTCAAAAATCCCTCCTTAACAACTGTTTTCAAATAACGACCACTGTGTTTAGTAGGTTATTCTAAGTAGATGATTTTATCTATTCATTTATAGGTTATTAATATGTTTATTTTATATCTATTTGAGTGAACATTTACTATGTTTTAGGTGCAGTGGTATCCATGGTATTTCATAGGTAGGGTAGAAGTCTCTTCCTTTTCTTCACACTCAGTAGTAAAGAGAGGCACATGAACAGGTGTTGCTATCCCCATGGAAACACAGACACAAGATATAGGAGTCACTCTTCTGACTCACCTTTACATAATCTTCTTCCAAGAACATCAAAGATCTATATTTCCTTTGTAGAACAGATTGACCGATGCCCAAGGCATATTGTATGTGCTACACTCGAGTTTATACTCCTACCAGTTTACTTGCATGTTTGCTAAGAATCAGTTGTGTTTGTTCCAAAGCCTATTTATGACAGTCAAACTTGATGTTATAATTATATAATTTGATTATTGAAAAAAAGTGAGCAAAAAGAGAGTTGCTGTTTTTTTATTATTATTATACTTTAAGTTTTAGAGTACATGTGCACAATGTGCAAGTTTGTTACATATGTATACATGTGCCATGTTGGTGTGCTGCACCCATTAACTTGTCATTTAGCATTAGGTATATCTCCTAATGCTATCCCTCCCCTCTCCCCCTACCCCACAACAGTCCCCAGTGTGTGATGTTACCCTTCCTGTGTCCATGTGTTCTCATAGTTCAAAAATTAAAGTATAACTAAGTTTTTGCAGAGACTAAAAAGGCAAGTTGGTTAAAAATACTTGTCTTAGTAGAAACAGTAATGTTAACTATAATTATTTTAAAATGGTAGAAATATATAGTTTTTTAAAACAGAAAAAATCTAGAAACATCTTTAATATGCATTTTTTTACACCTTAAGTTCTTACCTTTTTAAAAAAAGTAATTGAAAT
The DNA here is from genome assembly GCF_000001405.40 of Homo sapiens. Classification (NCBI taxonomy): domain Eukaryota; kingdom Metazoa; phylum Chordata; class Mammalia; order Primates; family Hominidae; genus Homo; species Homo sapiens. Next base: position 131,094,173 of record NC_000004.12, read on the forward strand.
TATAGTTAGAACATATTTTTAGTGTTTTATGTAGACAAGGTGATGGTAAATTCTGAGAAGACTACCCATACAAAAAGAAAATGCCGTGACCTGTATAAAAGATAAAAATACAGCTATAGAGATTAATAAATGAATATAATTTATAATTTATCAGTTACTAGTAATAACTTACCAAGTGATTGATAAAGTACTACATCAGTTTATAAGGGCTTCTGTAGCCAGCCACCATAAACTGGCTTGCTTAAAATAACAGAAATGCATTCTTTCACAAATTGTGAGGCTAAAAATTTAAAATTAAGGTGTCAGCAGAGTTGTGTCAACTCTACAGGTTGAGGGAGGATGGGTTACATGTTTTTCCCCTAATTATCGTTTGACTTCATGTTTTGACTTTGTTTGGCTTCAAGTTGCTTCACTCCAATCTCAGCCTCTATGTTTACATGGCCGTCTCCCCCTGTGTCTATCCAAATTTCCTTGTTCTGTAAAGACATCATTCATTGGATAAGGACCTATATTAATCCAGTAGGATCTCATTTTAACTCGATTACTTCTGCAAAGACTCTATCTCCAAATAATGTCAGATTCTCAGGTTCCAGGTGAGCATTAATTTTTTTAGAACAATAGTCAACAGAGTACAAGGTATCAAGTATGTTTTAGTTTAAAACTTTTAATGTATTTGTATATAATTTTTATGAACCCTTTTTTACCATCCTTCCAGTGTAACTCATTGGTTGCGAGGAGTGAAAGGTCTACCCATAATTGTGAAAACACAGAGGTGATACTCTCTACATTTGTCAGGAAAGAGCAAAGAAGAACTGGAAAATAATTTTATTTTTGATGTATTTTTTCCAAAACAAAGGTGCTTGTATATAAAACCTAGAGTGGGGAAACAAATCTAATACTCCATATCTTGTCCATTCTCAATCACATAAACTATTTTAAACAGTATACTTAGAGAATCCAAACTGCTACTGAAGATGAAGGGAATACTTAGGAAATTTAGAATCCTAATAATTTATCAGGGATTGCTCTTTGATACTGTAGATGTCCAAATAGTTAGTAAATTATAGTTAATAGCAAAACAATTATATGTAATTTCATAGGACATCTGATGTCTTTAACTGGCATACCTAGTTTTTAGTTTATTTGTTTATTTAAATATTACAATAGGTCTGCTCCTATGTCTACATAATGGTAACACCTTCTAGTAAAAATAAACAGAAGAAGCATTTAATTAGAAAAATGCTTATTTAGTGAGCAAAATGGTAATAGTGCCCAATCTGATAATGTTTACAGGCTACAGAGGGAGCTAAAAATTAAAAATAATTATAGATAAATTATAATTTTAATATTGCTCTAAGGTCAATTCAAGCGTCCAGTTAACTATCTACACTACAATTAATTTAGATATTTAAGGTATTACTAATTATGTGATTTGAGTTTAGGAATGTCTCATTTTTATCATATCTAAGATAGAAAATAGTAAAGGAAAATAACAAAAGTGCCCAACTTTCTTAAATACACTATTATACAGCATTAACTTTAACTTTGCATTTATAAATGGTGAAAGAAATCGGGCAGGGCATGGTGGCTCACACTTGTAATCCCAGCACTTTAGGAAGCCGAGGCGGAAGGATCACAAGGTCAGGAGATCAAGACTATCCTGGCTAACATGGTGAAACCCCATCCCTACTAAATATACAAAAAAATTAGCTGGGCCTGGTGGCGGGCACCTGTAGTCCCAGCTAATTGGGAGGCTGAGGCAGGAGAATTGTGTGAACCCGGGAGGCGGAGCTTGCAGTGAGGTGAGATCAGGCCACTGCACTCCAGCCTGGGCAACAGAGCGAGACTGTCTCAAAAAAAAAAAAAAAAAAAACTGCCTAGTCCTCTAACTGTGACAAATAATTGAAAATAACATTAAATGTCTTGTATTTAGTGCCCTGCAACTTAGGCAAATCTAAATATTTCCACTGTAACTGATTTACACTTTTGTCATTAATGTAAAATTTTTAAAGACACTCAACCTTTTAAATTAAAAACTTATTTAATATAGCTAACTTGTATAAATATTCAAAATGTTAAGATTTTTTTTAGTACAATTAAAATTAAACTTAGGAGAACATATAATTAACATTGTATCCTTTAGAAACAAATATGGATTCTTTTTAATTGCATGTAGTTAGATGCTTTTGTGTCGTCGAGATTAAAATGAAGAAGACTGAGAGAAAAAATGAGAAAAAAGTAAGAGAAAGAAAGAGGTGATTATTTAATTAATTATTTTTTCATTGTATACATTATCCAGGTATTTTTAATTTAAATTAATAAATCTTACTTTTTAGAGCAACTTTAGGTTTACAAAAAAATTGAGCAGAAGATACATTAAGCTGAAATTGTGACTCAATTATTTCTATTGGCATTTTAGCTACATTTCTTTAAAAATTTTCCAGTAAAATTCACTTAAACTGCATGCAACTAAGTTTAGTGTCATGGTAAAGATGTAATTCTATGAAGCCAGATTGTTGATTGAGAATTTTAACTTTGCTAATTTCCAGCAATCAACATTTAATACATTATTTACCTTCTCCATGCCATAGTTTCTTCACTTCTTGAGGGGGATTTTATTAACTTCTACCTCATTGGTTTATTGTGGAGTTGGATAAATCACAATTCCCTAAGTTCTTACAGCAGTATCTGGCTTATAGTAATTATATAATAAATGCTAACATTTTAAAACAATAAAGTGTGGTTAAGAGTGAAGCTTTTGAACCGAAGTCTTTGTTTTCACATCTAATTCTGTCATTGTATATTCTTAGCAGATATACTTCATTTTTCTGCAGTTTTGTTTCCTGATATAGAAAATAAAAATAGTGGTAGTATCTATCTTAAATGTTCACCAATTGACTAAATAATTGGCGCATGTAAAGCACTTAGCAGAGGGTCCAGAACATAGCAAGTATTTGTTACTGTTGTAAAAGTGAAAGCTCCTCCTTCACGTAGTATTCACATTTCAAGTACAAATGTACTTGAAGTATGCTTAAAATATAGGTCGATTCATTTTATTTCTTGTGTTTCTAAATGTGGCACCAGTTGTAAATTTATTAAATCTGTATCTTTCTTAATTTTGAATTTTTATCATTTTTAAAATTTTTATAACTTTACAGATACATGTTCACAAGCATTACAGTTCACAAGTACAATAGCTCTAAAATATATTATAATTTTGTATATTTCTGGTTTGTAAAAGTAACTAGTAAAACTCAGCTACATTATTTCACACTCTTTTATTTAATAAAACACTTTTACCAGGATTATTTCAGAAAATAACCTCTATGGCTAAAAAGTAAGCAAAATTAATCCATTTCACTAGTTTAATTCTTCTTTAAAGATGTAAAAATTAAATTATTTTGGCAATATGTCTTTAGTGTTTATAATGTTTTAGGTAGTCCTCTGATACTGGATGTTAGTGATCTGTATATGAAAATTGTAAGCATGCTTACTTTTCTGATGCAGTTTTCCATCTAGACATACAGATGCAGAAGAAAAAGGATACAAAGACAAGTGAAATGCTGAAATTGGTTGTTTGGAGAAAAAAATACTTAAATATATGTGTGATAGTAAAGCAAAAATAAGGTGATATGATAGAGTAACCAAAAACAACTGTAATATTAAGTACTTTGCACATGTCAGGAATTATAATAAATCCTTAATTATATAGTTTAATATTTATAGCCTTTATATCTTTTTAAATTAGTCAAAGTGCTATGCTAAGTATTAGTTCATTTGAGCCTCAAAATCATTCTATGGAATAAATTAAGCAGACTTTTTTTTTTTTTTACAAATATGGAGACTTGGATGTACAGTGACCACATGCCTTGCCAATGACAATGATTAGGAAGAAAAATAAACAATGCTTAAACCCTTTTCTCAAAAAGTTATTATTTCTTCCTGTTTTGGGGCCATCAGCCTAATTTGTTAGCTCAGTTTCTTAACATTTGAAGTACTGTGTCAGAGCTCTAATTGTGCCCTTTTCCACTATATTTGCTATTTCTTCAGAATTGTTAGGAATCTCATAGTTCTAATCATACCAAATCACAAAAACCATAATATCAGGTTTTTAAAATAGGCTCTTGCATATAAAATTTAACATTTATATATAATACAAAAAGATAAAGTGCCCCTAATTTTAATTTTCCACAATTTTCAAATTAATCGATTTGAATTATATTGCTCAGTTACCCCCTCACTGCCTTTGACATGCTGTCCTTTTCACTAGGAATGTAGAGCTCTAAGTCGCACCTTTACTGTTGAGCTATGTAATTTCCCACAAAACTCGAAATGCCAAAAAGCGTTCCGTTTACCACTCATTCATTCATTCAACAATTATGCAACTTCTAGCTTTTATTTGAATCACATAATGTTCAACAAACTTACACTATCAAACTACACCTACATTGACAGAATATTTCATAAATATATATAACATTATTCTATTGCTTTTCACTTGTTTTACATTAGTATATTATAACTAATTGTAACTACACTGTCATTTTGAATCTTCTGTTCAGAAGAACATTACAGATAGGGTGAATAGAAGTAATCCATCAATTTTGAATGAAATACTTAAGGTAAAACTTGTACGAATCAAATGAGTACAAAAAATAGTTTCAGGGTTTTATCAGAAAGTATGATATATCTGAGTTTTCACTCTGCTTGCAAAAAAACAAGTCAGCCTTCCACAGTTTCACAGATTCTGACAAAAAATATGAAACCTAGATTAGAGACAAAGAATGTTACCATTCTCAGCAAAGCAGGCAGCTTTGTCACAGGATCCTTAGGGTGTCGCTTCTCCAGCCAGAAACCTCTGTGGCCAATAGCATATTTGCCTGAGTTTTGCTCGGGCCCATGGGTTTGTTCACTCAGTCTCCACAGCAGGTTTTGCTTGGCCCACACTACTGGCCCAGATCCCATACCTGCCAAGGGCGTGCCAGGCACAGAGTGGCAAGAGGTGTGTTAGTAAGCGTGGGATTTGACCTCTGCACAAAGCCAAGTGTGCCACCTGAGACGGGGCAGGCAGCTCCAGGTGTCAGCCCTTGTGCCAGCTCTGTGTGAGGCTACAGCTGAACCAGGTGTACTGTAAACAGCTTCCACTGTGGGCACCAGGGAATGCAGTGGTACCCAGAAGCTTGGAGATGCCAGGAGCTGCAGAGCCCCAAAGAGGGTGTCACAGCCCTGGCTCAGGGAGCCCTTAGGTCTGGGCTCCCTGAAGGGCCACAGCTCTTCTCTCCTTCTTGTGAGCTCTTCTCTTCTCACCACAATGTGGCGAGCGAGGGGTGTGTTTCAGTCCTATTTGTGTTAAACCTCTTTCAGTCCCACCTTTTGGTGGGACCTGAGTTCTTGTCCCATGTCGGGGAAGAATGAGGTATGTGGACAACTGGAGGGTGAGCAAAGCAGAGAGGAGCTCCACTGAGTGACAGAACAGCTCTCAGGAGACCTGAAGTGGATAGCTTCTTTCTGCAGGCAGGTCGGCCAGGGGAGTGTCCAGCTCTCAGTGAAGAGAAGACTCGTAGTGGGTAGCTCCTTCCTGCAGCAGGTAGTCCCAATGTCTGTGTGAATCTGGCTGATACGGTTTCACTGTGTCCCCACCCAAATCTCATCTTGAATTGTAACTCCCACAATTCCCACCTATTGTGGGAGAAACTCCGTGGGAAGTGATTGAATCATGTGGGCAGGTATTTCCTGCACTGCTCTTGTGATAGGGAATGAGTCTCATGAGATCTGATGGTTTTAAAAATGGGAGTTTACCTGCACAAGCTCTCTTCCCTTGTCTGCCACCATGTGAGACATGTTTCATCTTCCATTATGATTGTGGAGCTCCCCAGCCATGTGGCACTGTGAGTCCAATAAACCTCTTTCTTTTGTAAATTGCCCAGTCTCAGGTATGTCTTTATCAGCAGCGTGAAAATGGTCTAATGCAGTAAATTGGTACCAGGAGTAGCATGCTGCTGAAAACATACCTGAAAATGCGGAAGCAACTTTGGAATTGGGTAGCAGGCCAAGTTGGAACAGTTTGGGGGGGCTTGGAAAAAGATGGGAAAATGTAGGAAGGTTTGGAACTCCCTAGAGATTTGTTTAGTGGCTTTGACCGAAATGCTGATAGTGATATATGATGAAACCCAGGATGAGGTGGTCTCAGATGAAGATGAATAACTTGTTGGAAACTTGAGTAAAGGTGAGTCTGATATGTTTTAACAAAGAGACTGGCATTATTTTGCCCCTGCTCTAGAGATCTGTGAAACTTTGAACTTGAGGGAGATGATTTAGGGTATCTGGTAGAAGAAATTTTTAAGCAACGAAACATTCAAGTGGTGGCTTGAGTGCTGTTAAAAGCATTCAGTTTTGTAAGGGAAGCAGAGCATAAAAGTTCAAAAAATTTGCAGCCTGACAATGTAATAGAAAAAGAAAAACCCATTTTCTGAGGAGAAATTCAAGCCAGCTGCAGAAAATTGCTTAAGTAACAAGGAGCTGAATGTGAATCCCCAAGACAATGGGGAAAATGTCTCCAGGGCATGTCAGAGGTTTTCACGGCAATCCCTCCCATCACAGACCTACAGGCCTAGGAGAAAATGGTTTTGTGGGCCGGGCTGAGGGTCCCCGTGCTGTGTGCAGCCTAGGGACTTGGTGACCTGTGTCCCAGCCACTCCAGCCATGGCTGAATGGGGCCAAGGTAGAGATCGAGCCATGGCTTCAGAGGGTGGAAGCCCCAAGCCTTGGCAGCGTCCATGTGTTGTTGAGCTTGCAGGTGCACAGAAGTGAAGAATTGAGGTTTGTGTCTAGGCACACTGGCTCATTCCTGTAATCCCAGCACTTTGGGAGGCCAAGGCAGGTGAATCACCTGAAGCCAAGAGTTCAAGACCAGCCTAGCCAACATGGGGAAACCGCACCTAGATTTCAGAAGATGTATGAAAATGTCTGGATGCCCAGGCAGAAGTTTGCTGCAGGAGCAGGGCACTCATGGAGAACTTTTGCTAGGGCAGTGAGGAAGGGAAATGTGGGAATGGTGTCAGAGTAATAGAGTCACTACTGGGGCATTGCCTAGTGGAGCTGTGAGAAGAGGGCCACCATCCCCCAGACCCAAGAATGGTAGATCCACCAATGGCTTGCACCATGTGCCTGGAAAAGCCACAGACTCTCAATGCCAGCCAGCCTGTGAAAGTAGATGGGAGGGAGGCTGTACCCTGCAAAGCCAAGCTGCCCAAGACCATGGAAACCCATCCCTTGCATCAGTGTGAACTGGATTTGAGACATGGAGTCAGAGGACAATATTTCGGAGCTTTAAGATTTAACTGCTCTGCTGGATTTCAGATTTGCATGGGGCCCATAGTCCTTTTGTTTTGGTCAATTTCTCCCATTTGGAATGGCTGTATTTACCTGATGCCTGTACCCCATTGTATCTAAGAAGTAGCCAACTTGCTTTTAATTTTACAGGCTCATAGGCGGAAGGGACTTGCCTTGTCTTAGATGAGACACTGGACTGTGGACTTTCGAGTTAATGCTGAAATGAGTTAAGATTTTGGGGGACTGTTGGGAAGGCAGGATTGATTTTGAAGTGTGAGGACATGAGATTTGGGAATGGCCAGGGGTGGAATGATTTGATTTGTCTGTGTCTCTGCCCAAATCTCATCTTGAGTTGTAACTCCCACAATTCCCACCTGTTGTGGGAGGAACATGGTGGGAGGTGATTGAATCATGAGACGGGTCTTTCCTGTGCTGTTCTTGTGATAGTGAATGAGTCTCATGAGATACAATGGTTTCAAAAATGAGAGTTTTCCTGCACAAGCTCTTGTCTCTTGTCTGCCACCATGTGAGGCATGTTTTCACCTTCCATCATGACTGTGAGGCCTCCCAGCCAAGTGGCACTGTGAGTCCAATAAACCTCTTTGTTTTGCATATTGCCCAGCCTCGGATATGTCTTTATCAGCAGCATGAAAATGGACTAATACAATGGCTGAGTCCAGGGTATTTATGGACTCAGAAGGGAGGAAGTAAATGCTGATTGGTTCATGAATGTGGACTTCACCTGAAACTGGCAGCCTGGCCGCCAGTCTTCAGGTCTTCCCTGGCTTGAAGTTGGGGCTTCACTGGGTATCCACTCCTTTCTGCCCAGGAACCTGTCTGCCTCCTGTCACCATCATGGTGTCCAGGTTGTCCCTGCTGAGGGATGCATGCAGGCCCAAACTAAGCCACCTTCAGCTCCACCGTGGCCTCCTTCCCACACTCATCAGTGCCCAAAGTCTGAAGGGGGCCACGGCAGGAGGGAGGTGAGCTGGCAAATCAGCACCACCCTGAGTGCATGCACAAACAGCCAGGTTGCAACAGCCCCTGCGATCAGCTCCACCTTTGCTACAAAATTAGAGCAGGCACCAGGAGTGGGGAAAGGCCAGCTAGCAGGAGAGGACACTTCTGAGCCTGTAGGGACAGGGGGTGGTTCCCTGGCTCCTGAGAGCACAGAGATGCCCAGATCTGGAACCTTGGTGAGGTGTCTGAAGCTGTGATTGGGAATGTGGAGTTCCTGCCCTGCCAGCTCAGTAGGGGGTGGGACTCCTGCCTGTTCCCAGTTCCACTGGCTCCATGGGGTGCACAGCCCTGGTGGCACCTCCTTTGCTGCCAATGCCATCACTGCAGTGGCTGCTGCAGATGGGCAGCCACCACCATCAGCTTAAGCTTAATGTCCACATTCGTCCTACTGGTCCCCCACATTTAATGAGGGCAATAAAAAGATGGGTGTATGGGGATGCTTCACACACAGGTTTTTATCAAAACTGAAGAGTTCCAAGTTTGGAAGACCATCAGTTTTCCAAGGTGGCTGATAACCAAACTTCCCAAACTTTCTCTCAAAAGTTAATATAGACATGATCTATAAAGTTATTATAGACATTACATAGATAATGTAGACATTATGAATATTGTTCTGGTAATGAAACAAATCTGCATGAGGAGTTACTATTTGTATCTTCCAAGACCATTGATATACATGGTCCTTGAAAAGAGAGTCTGGAACAAAATTTATAAATAATTAACTCTTCAGAAGACATTCAGAAACAAAAGAAACAAAAGAGACTCACAAAGGATTATCTCCCAATGTGTAAGTCTAACAGTCAAGCAATATTTTGTATCAGAACAGCTTTAGTCAACTCATTGTATTTCCATGTCACAAATGCTTGTTTTAATTTTTTTTTTTTTTTTTTTTTGAGACAGAGTCTTGTTCTGTCACTCAGGATGGAGTGCAGGGGCACAATCTTGGCTCACTGCAACCTCTGCCTCCTAGGTTCAAGCAATTCTTATGTCTCAGTCTCCTGAGTAGCTGGGATTACAAGTGTGTGCCAACACGCTCAGTTAATTTTTTGTATTTTTTTCTGGAGATGGAGTTTTGCCATGTTCGCCAGGCTGGTCTCAAACTCTGGGCCTCAAGTGATCCACCCGCCTCAACCTCCTAAAGTAATGGGATTACAGTTGTTTTAATATTTTTGAAAGTCAAATTGACTTTTCTAAGTATATGAACAGAAAATAAGAAATTAACTCCTGAAAAAAGGACAAAATAGAAGTTTTTTTAATGAAGTAGACAAACCGTGTTTCTCTATTTATAATATAAACCACTAACAACTTTCATTTAAAACTTACATTTAAATTATTATAAAACAATATTAATGTATTATAAAATACTAGTAATTCATTAGGTATGACTTTTTTTTTTTTTTTGAGATGGAGTTTTGCTCTTGTGGCCCAGGCTGGAGTGCAGTGGCGCCATCTCAGCTCATGGCAACCTCCACCTCCGGAGTTCAAGCGATTCTCCTGCTTCAGCCTTCTGAGTAACTGGGATTGCAGGCCACCACACCGGCTAATTTTTTGTATTTTTAGTAAAGATGGGATTTCGCCATGTTGGGCAGGCTGGTCTCAAATTCCTGACCTCAGGTGATCCGCCCGCCTCGGTCTCCAAAAGTGGTGGGATTACAGGTGTGAGCCATTGTGCCCAGCCAAGTGTGACCTTTAAGTAACACTGGTACTACAGTATGAATGGAAAGAAGTAACAGAGCAAGTGTAATCATATTAATATTTAACTGTAAATTCAGCAGAAAAAAAAGGAGTAAAGTTAGAATTTTTATAGAATTTAGAATAGAAAAAGATCTGGAAATTCAGCTTTGTTTGTATTTTTTAAAATTAACTTTTTTTGTTTCTGTTTTTGAGACGGAGTCTTGCTCTGTCGCCCAGGCTGGAGTGCAGTGGAGCAATCTCAGCTCACTGCAAACTCAGCCTCCTGGGTTCACACCATTCTCCTGCCTCAGCCTCCCGAGTAGCTGGGACTACAGGCACCCGCCACCACGCCCGGCTAATTTTTTGTATTTTTAGTAGAGATGGGGTTTCACAGTGTTAGCCAGGATGGTCTGGATCTCCTGACCTCGTGATCCGCCTGCCTCGGCCTCCCAAAGTGCTGGGATTACAGGCATGAGCCACCGCGCCCGGCCTTAAAATTAACTTTTCATAATTGTACTTCTATTCATTCTACAATGTTTAGTTCAGATAATATGAAAAGTTTCAATGTTTTTCAATATCTGTTAATGTGAGTTTACTTTGCATGATAGTGTTGATGAATACGGCTTTGAAATGTTGACACTTCCTGTGGAAAGAAACGAGACAATAAGATAAAACACTAAACAACAGCTATGAAATTAGCTAAGCCAGTGGTTCTTAACATGTTTTAATGATTAATAAAACAGAATTTCCACTCTCAAAATTCAGTGATAGGTACTTTCTATTTCTCAAAGTATTTCTTTATAAAGTTCATTTAAAAGATTGGTTTTATACTAGAGTATGGGTGCTGTGGACTATTATTTTCACAATAAAAAGTTCATTTGAAAACAATTCACTACTTGACCCTATATTAAAATATCCTCAATAATTCAGAAATATTTTTTATAAGTATAAATCCATTTATGTTATTAGGGAGGAAACTACATTTGGGCACATATTATTTTAAGTGTGACTGGATATTTCAGGGGTAAATGTTTCTTATTGAAAACTGACTTGTGTTTACCGAAGATCTTTAGTATATCAGAGAATTGTCTTACTTACTGCCTAAGAGTAGAGATAATGTGCTTAGCTCCTAAGAATTTGTGATTTTTTAAAAATTTATTTTCTTTTAACATCATTAAGAAACAAATGGAGTTTTACTAAGAGGCAAAAATGTGTAAAATATTTAAACATATTAGCAAATATGACACTGAAGCCAGGCTCAGTGGCATGCACCTGGAATCCCAGCTACCAGGGAGGCTGAGGCAGGAAGATGACTTGAGACCTGAAGTCTTAAGACCAGAGACCAGCCTGGGCAACCAAGTGAGACCCCATCTATCAAATATATGTATATGTATATGTATATATATATGAATATGTACATATATGAATATGTATATATGTATATATTATATATATTATATTGATAAATATAAATAAACTTCATAATGTGCTATCAATAGTTATATGACTTTAAAAACTACCTTGGCTTTTCAAATCTGTATTTCTAAATCCATTTTATTAATAAAATGTTTGGGAATTTGCTGTATTAAAGAAAATTGTATAGTTCTTAATGAATATACATATATATTTCAATATAGTATCTGACATTATTACTGGGGGTGCAAACATTTTGAGTGTTTTTTGCAGAGCCATCAAGTTTAATTATTCATGAAAAAATTGCTGAACTAACTTACAAAACACATTAGCTGGGGAGTGCAAATTATGTATGTTATGAGCTACACATAATTATGTAGGTAACTCTAGCTATGTGTCATACACAGTTGATGTAACATATGTGTCCATTTATCTTGAAATCCCAATTTCTTTATCTGTATTTATTTAATAGGACTATTCTGAGAATAAAACAAAAAAAAGTATGTAATACCCTTAAAGAATATTTAGTAGACGCTCAAAATTGCTGTTTTTTAAAAATGCTAATTCTTCTGCTGCTGTTGATGAAGATAGCCCTTGAATTTTTGCTTCTCTTTTATTGGTAGCAAAATTTTATGATCTTGATAACCTAGACACCTTTGTTGATTACTCTAAATGACAAAATATAGTTGTAGCCCATGAAGAATCAGACAAAAAGAAGTTGTGAATTAAGTTTACTTGCTAAGAGATTAAGAGAGGTATATTGACTTATATAATAAACTAAAAATACTTTTTTCCTAACTATAGCCTTGAAAAATGAGAAAAGATGATGATGAAATTTCAGGGTGAACACACCAATAATGAATAACAAGATCAAAGCAGTAATAAAAAAGTATCCCATCAAATAAAAGTCGAGGACCTGATGATGGCTCTACAGCTAAATTCTACCAAACCTTTAAAGAAAAATGGAAAGCAATCTTACTCAAATTATTCCAAAAAATGGAAGAGAAAGGAATACTTTCAAATTCATTATATGAGACCAGCATTACTCTGATATCAAAACCAGACAAGGACACAACAAAAAAAGAAAATGTCAGGAGAATATCTCTGATGAACATAGATGCAAAAATCCAGAACAAAATACTAATAAACTTAATTCAACAATACATAATAAGGATTATTTACCATGATCAAATGGGATTAATCACAGAGATGCAAGGATGGTTCAACAGAACAACAAATGATCTGCATCAAATTAACTGAATCAGGGATGAAAACCATATGATCATTTCAATAGATGCTGAAAAGGCATTTTATAAAATTTGGCATTCCTTCGTAATAAAAACTCTCAACAAGCCTGGCAATGAAGGAATGCTTCACAATACAATAAAGCCATGTATGACAAAGTTGCAGGTAACATTATACTGAATGAGAAAAAAGTTGAAAGCTGTTTCTCTAAGATTTGGAAAATGAGAAGGATGATCATTTTCAACAGTTTTTTTAAACATACTACTGGAAGTTCTAGCCAGAGCAATCAGGCAAGAGAAAGAAATAAAGGGCATCCAAATCAGAAAGCAGAATGTCAAATAGTTCCTTTTTTTTTTTTTTTTTGAGATGGAGTCTCGCTCTGTTGTCCAGGCTGGAGTGCAGTGGTGCGATCTCAGCTCACTGCAAGCTCTGCCTCCCGGTTCACGCCATTCTCCTGCCTCAGCCTCCTGAGTAGCTGGGACTACCGGCGCCTGCCACCATGTCCGGCTAATTTTTTGTATTTTTAGTAGAGATGGGGTTTCATCGTGTTAGCCAGGATGGTCTGGATCTCCTGACTTCGTGATCTGCCCACCTCAGCCTCCCAAAGTGCTGGGATTACAGGCGTGAGCCACCACGCCCGGCCAGTTCTTATTTTTAGGTGACATGATTTTATGATTATACATATATATATAACCTTAAAGGTTGCACCAAAAAACAGTTAAAACTAATAAAATAATTTAGTAAAATTGCAATATACAAAATCAATATATAAAAGTCAGTAGTGTTCCTATACATCCACGATGAACAATCTAAAAAAAAAAAACAAAAAAGCAATTCTATTTACAATAGCCACCAAAAAAAAAAATGGGAGTAAACTTAACCAAGGAGGTGAGAGATATCTATGATGAAAACTATAAAACATTGATGAAAGAAATTGAAAAGGACACAGTTATTTGTGTTCCTTTCATTTATATGGAAAGATATCTCTTGTTTATGGATTGAAAGAAATAATATTGTTAAAAGGTCCATATTATCCAAAGTTATCTGCAGATTCAATGCAATCTCTGTCAAAATATTGATGCCATTATTTACAGAAATAGAAAAAACAGTTCCAAAATTTGTATGAAAATGCAAAACCGTGAATAGCCAAAGCTATCTTGAGCAAACTAAACAAAGCTGGAGGCATCACATTGCATTACTTCAAAATACGCAACAAAGCTATAGTAGCCAAAATTGTACTGACGTAAAAGCAGACACATATACCAATAAAACAGAATGGAAACCCAGAAATAAATTCATTTATATAGCCAACTAATTATTGTCATATGCTCCATGAACACACATTGGTGAAAAGACAGTGTCTTCAATTAATGATGCTGAGAAAATGAGTATCTACATACAGGAAAGTAAATCCAGACCCCTATCTCTTATCATACACAAAAATAAACTCTAAATGAATTAATGATTTTAATGCAAGATCTAATGCTATAAAACTACTAGAAGGAAACATAAGGGAAATACTTCATGAAATTGAAGTGGGCAAGCATTTTTTGAATAAGACCTCAAAAATGCAGGAAACAAAATAAAAAATTATATTACATAAGCTAAAAAGATCCTGCAGAATAAAGAAAACAATTACTAAAGTGAGACAACTTGCCAAATGAGAGAAAATATATTCAAATATTCATCTGACAAGGAGTTAATACACAGACTATATAAGGAACTCAATGAGCTCAAAGCAGAAAAAAATCCAGTTAAAAATGAGCAAAATACCTGAATAAACATTTCTTTAAAGAAGACATACAAATAACCTGCAGATATATGAAAAATGGTCAACATCACGAATCATCAGAGAAATGTAAATCAACAACACAGTCAGGTATCACTTCACCTCATTTAGAATGGCTATTATAAAAAAAGACAAAAAATAACAAAAATGTTGGCCAGTATGTGGAAAAAGGGGAGCTCTTACACACTGCTTGTAGGAATATAAATTATTTTGTATTGTGAAAACAGTATGGAAACCTCGAAAACGTCAGTATCCATTCCTTTAAGTTTGGACTCTTTAATTCCTCAAAAAATTAAAAACAGAACTACCGCATAATCTAACCATCGTATTTCTGGGTAAGCATTCAAAAGAAATGAAATCAGTATGTGGAAGAGACATGTGCACACTCATGTTTATTGCAGCACTGTTCACAATAGCCAAGATATGGAATCAACTTAAATACCCATTGACAGGTGAATGAATAAAGAAAATGTGGTATACACACACACACACACACACACACACACACACAATGGAATACGATTCAGCCATAAAAGAGAATGAACTCCTGTCATTTGTGGCAACATAGATGGATCTGGAAGACATTTTTAAGTGAAATAACATAATTGTCACTTAACAGGCATAGAAAGACAAACATTGCATGATCTCACTCATACGTGAAATCTAAAAATGTTGATCTCATAAAAGTAGAGTAGAGGCTGGGCGTGGTGGCTCACGCCTGTAATCCCAGCACTTTGGGAAGCCGAGATGGGCAGATCACGAGGTCAGGAGATCAAGACCGTCCTGGCTAACACTGTGAAACCCCATCTCTACTAAAAATACAAAAAATTAGCCGGGCGTGGTGGCGGGCGCCTATAGTCCCAGCTACTCAGGAGGCTGAGGCAGGAGAATGGCGTGAACCCGGGAAGTGGAGCTTGCAGTGAGCAGAGATTGCGCCACTTCACTCTGGCTTGGGGGACAGAGCGAGACTCCCTCTCAAAAAAAAAAAAAAAAGAGTAGAATAGTAGTTACTAGTGGCTGTGGAGGGTAGGGGGAAGGAGAGGAGAGGGAGAGAGAGGCTGGTCAATAGTACAAATTTACAGTTAGAAAGAATTTCATTGTTTTATTACATGGTAGGGTGACTATAGAAAATAATTACGTACTGTGTATTTCAAGATAACTAGAAGACAGCTAGACTTTGCATATTGTCAAGACTAGAAAACGATTAATGATTAAAGTAATGTATATGGTAATCACCCCAATTTGATTATTACACTATGTATACATGTACTGAAACATGACATTGTACCACATAAATATGTACAAATAATATGTGTCAAATATAAATTATTTTTAAGTAACTTTATTCAAGTGAGAATGGGGAGTTTTCTTTCGCTTAATTATCCTGAGCCTTTATTAACTTCCTTCACTTTAGCATCTTGAATCCAGTAAATGTTTTTAGACAAGAGACATTTAGGGAATTACTGCTCTCCCATTTTATGCAAGAATGAAGGTGCTTAGCTTTTCCTATCTGAATTATTTGCTAAAACTAAACTAATTAGACATTCCAAAGATTTTGAATCTTGATAATGAAGACAGAAAAATGATTTTGATCTATGTGTTACAGGAGCAGTACACTGATAGGGAGTATTTTATGCTACTTAGACTCCAGATAGCTGTCCTATCCTGTTCCTATAGCTTATCAGGTACGGTAGTATAGATTAAGCAAATAAAAATTTTAGAAAATTGCTAATTTATATTATTTAAAATGTGAAAAAATATAATTAGGAATCAGAGTTTGTGTGTATTTTATTTTTATTACATGGTGTTTATCCTATTATTTCAATTATTAATGTAGCACTTACCAGAAATTCTGCTTTCAGCATGCCAGCATGGGTTACCATATATTTCTAATATGTGTGTTTGTGTGTGTGTGTGAGTATATGTCCATGAATACCAATTGTAAGATTCTATAAAGGACACTGAAGAGCCATATATCATTTGGTATAAGTAGATGAAGAAAGTATTTGCAGGAAGAAAATGAACCACCAAGTCAGAGTTTCTCACCGTTTTTGCAGATTTGAGTCAGCTCTTCGACTTAAGGTCCTCCAATAAACAGCAGTTTATTTAGCTTGAGGACAGATCCTAGTATGCTAATATAAAACCACATTTTTTTTTTTTTTACCATAACTTGCCTTCTGTTTACCTTTGACTTGACTTCAGGGCATTCAAAGATGGATTTTTGAATGGAGAAAGGAGTCCAAACCTACAGGAAGGGATACTGACTTTTTCAAAGTTTCTGAGCTAACTTGAATTCCTGAAGACACCAGATGCCATTGGGTTATACCAGTGAGGCATGTGATAAATGGAGTTTGACCAGAGGAGATCACATACTCAACTCAGTGGAACTTTGAAACCAGCAGATATTCCTTGCTTTGATTCCTGTGTTTGTAGTTAGAGCAGACAACTCCAGGAACTAAAGAATCCCTATGGAAAGTGTAGCCAAGAGCAGGAAAAAGCTAGTCACAGAATCCAGGCTACCCTATATAAAGCTTTGAAATGTGGTCCACTTCTGGCTCACAAGATTCCCACAATTTTTATGACTAATCTTAATAGGAAAAACACACATATTTGTGTCAGGAATTACTGACAGCCATCACCAATTACCCGAATAATAGAAACAAGATTCAAGTTGAAAATGAATGAATGCTTCTTTTTACTGTCTAATATGAATTAAGTATTATCTGATTTGTCCCTCCACATTGTTTGATGTTCCTAACAGAATTCCATTATTCAGTGAAAATGGTATATTCAGGGAGGTCAACAGGAAGTAAAAATAAGTGAAACTTACCTGAGTAGCTATCTCAGAGTTCTGACATGTCCTCTAACACTCTACATTGCTGCTGTATGACAGCTCACTCATGGAAATTCTGAAGAAAAGCAAAGATGGGGCATTCTCTAAACGGGTGTAATTTTAAAATGAAACTGCTTATCAGCTGTCTAGAAAAGGAGATGGCCTGATACACACAGGAAAAGTTTAATTAGGGCTGCTATAATATTTTGGAGCAATAAGTTAGATTAAATTAACCAGTCCATTTAGATATGTTGTCTTCTATTATGAGCTAAGAAGATCATTATATTTTGACAATGCATAGATCAAATATATGCTAATTTATACTTCTCTGCAATCTTGTTCTCTTGATTATTTTTCTTCTTTTAGCAGGCTATTATTTTCTCAAGAGGATTTACAAGTAGCATTCACTGGTCATGACAAACCTTCAATTAACTGGCTTTCCTGCAGTGTGTATTATTATTTCATTATCAAGTTGTCTTTTCATTCTTTTTTCTCACTCTTTCAAGTTATTTATTTATTGTAATTGGCCTACACACAATTTTCTTAATTATTTTTAATGACACTTTTGTTAACACTTACACACTTTTTCATAAAGTTGTTCTAGAAAAAAAATCAAGTCGGATTTAAATTTGTTCTTCAAAAGATAGATTCAAAGGAACAAGCTCTGTCTGATATAGGAAACAGGTAAAATAAGTTTTAGTTTTCTGTTGCTCAAATGTACCTCTCAGGGTCTTGGTTTCCTTATTTCTAAAATTAAGGAGTTACCCTAGAAGATTTTTAATCTCTAATGTTGTGAATTTCTCTTTGGCAATGCTCTTATATAACTAAAATAGTAAATGATTTAAAAACTGAAATTTTAGCTCAGTAATTGGCATTACATTTTTAAGTCCCTGAAAAGAATTAACTCCTGTAGATATCAGTTTCTTCATTTAAAAAATGGAGTCAATGATTCTAAACATTTTCCCTTTCATAATGGATAATGATGGCTTGTGCTACAAGTTTAATATACATGAATTATTTTCTATCTCCAGATAACATGATTGATTTTCTGACTGATTTGTGTAGCTTCATTTTCACATGCCAAAACTTCAACAAGGTATAAAATATGGCCACAACTTGTAGTAAATTTAATGTGGTATGGATTAGTGAGTGCTATTTATATGCTGAAGATACACTAGTGTTACCTCAAAGAGCAATCCAAGAATACACATTTGCTAAGGCTGGGATAGTTCAGGATGTCTGCACTAGTGGTTGTTTATGGCATGAAAGATGCCTGGTCTGGCCTCCACGAAGCCCTGCCCCATCTGAGTCTCAGGAAAAGTTGCTGAAGCCTGGCTGTGTCTGCCCAGACACCAAGAAGACATGTGATGCATGTTATCATTGAGAAAGGAGAGCACTGTGGACATCTATTTTTATTTTTTATTTTTTGAGATGGAATTTTGCTCTTATTGCCCAGGCTGGAGTGCAGTGGGGCAATCTCAACTCACTGCAAACTCTGCCTCCCAGGTTCAAGCGATTCTCCTGCCTCAGCCTCCAGAGTAGCTGGGATTACAGGCGCGCACCACCAAGCCCGGCTAATTTTTGTGCTTTTAGTAGAGACGGGGTTTCACCGTGTTGGCCAGGCTGGTCTCAAACTCCTGATCTCAGGTGATCCACCTGCCTCAGCCTCTCAAAGTTCTGGGATTACAGGCATGAGCCATCGCTCACGGCCCAACACTGTGGACATCTAATTGAAGCCCACAAGGAGTGCATGGGCTCTCTGAGATTTAAGATATGAAATAGTGTTCTTGAAGAACGAAGATTAAATAATTTCGGGAACTTTAATGAACTTTCATAAGTGGAAAAAGTATTTCTAATTTATTTTTTTAAACAAATATTAGTCGACAAAGGAAAAAAACAACTCAATTAGAGTACAACTAGGAAAGGTGGGAATTATTTTAGAAATACATTTTTGAAAGCATGAAGGATTTCTAGTACAGTAAATATTTGAGGGGTCAAAGTCCTGGAGAGAAGAAAACTCAGGTGTGAGCCAAAAATTTGGAGGTATTTTTTGCCTATGAACTCCAAAATAAGCTGAGCCTCAGAAAAGCCACATAGAAAGTGGCAGTTGGAGTTAAGATAAGCACAATGTTAAAGTCTCTTAGGCCTCAATATAATTGCAAAAATATTTAACATAGGAATGAAAAAAACATATTATTCCTACTTGGCATATAAAAAACATTATAAAGACTAATTAATTTGAAGTCACATAATGTATTGATATTAGAGATATTCGAGCCTTCAATGATAAAATTGTCTACCAAAAAGTCTGGAAAGAGGGTATTGAAGCATAGTTATTATTTAGATATTTTAAAAAGAAGGCAAAGTCATATGGGCAGTTCAGTTAATGGAATTGGGGGATGGGATGCAGTGAGTCAAATCAGACTTTCATATTCTTGAAGCTTGACTTTCCAGACCTAGGAATAGTCTAATATTTACTTTCAGCCCAAAGTAAATATGGTACAAGTAATAAGTTTGCTTTTTTCATCTGAAAATCATTTTTTTGGTAATATAAGGTAGAAAAAGAGACTAGAAAAACAAACAACATGTATTGATGTTATATATTTTCGCATTATTATAACATGTATGAGCAATAATGTCAACCTGAAAGTAATGTGTTATGTCCAATGAACATCAAACTGCACTCAGTGAGCTGCATTGCAGCTGCATGAGAAAAAATACTGTTACTTTTGTCCCTGGAAATTAAATATATTTACTATGGTCTAATGAGATCCACTCATGAGTTTTCTGTTCACTCCTGTAATGAGGAAAGTCAGGGACGTCGCAAATTCAATTAACCTGATAATTAATGAATTTTCATATCATATCTCATTACTCTATCAAGATAGAATTTTTCCAACTTTATTACAATGTCTCATTGTCAATAACATTATTATCAATACTAATAACAAATGAATAATTATTGTCCTCTGTTATTTATGCTTTATTAATTACTTGGCCTACTGCAACTATATTTATTTAAAAGGTTTATTACTGCATATTTTATGTGTTTGTATATATCTGTCACTGACTTTATAGGTATGTGTATTATTTAATTATATACCTTAATAAATTATAAATTACTCAAAGAAAGAATCTGAGTCTCTTTGCAATTATAGAAAAAATTCTAGCCTTTTTGCAATGCTGTAGAGTGGCTGAAACCATGGCATCATTCTAATATTTTGGCTTTTCAAGGAATGTTCTAAACCCAGACTTCTAGTATAGTTCTCAGTAAAGAGAATATTCTTCTCATTTATAAGCTCATTTATCTTCACTATAGAACTCTAATTATTCACATTATGAGCTTATAGGGTACATGGTTTTAGGACCCAGGATCCCAGGGGACATTTTACACCACAGTAAGGGGGAGCAGCTTAGTCACTGTCCTGGGGATTAAGTTGACAAATGTCTCTGGAACTACTTAGCTCTAATAAAATGTTTTCAGAGCTGTGGATACATAACTACTTCTTAGTGAATATGTTATGAAAAACTGTAGAATGAATCTGAGAGCCATAGAAGTCAGTTTTTTTTCTTCCCATAACACACATTTTAAATTAAAAGAATGTCTATATTTCGGGACAACATAGGTACTTTGAATAACTGCTCTAAAAATGTTTGCTTTTCCAGGAAAATTGAAAAATCTTATCTATATATAATGCAGAACTTATAAATAGCACTAAAAAAAAGAGCCCAAATCATATGGATGCCAAGGTAAACAAACTTAGCTCCTGATTGGCCTCCCTAACTCTTCTGATCTCCAAATTTTGGCCGCAATGGAACAAAAGAGGCTTTCCTATCTTTTGTCCTGCTCAGACTTCTACAAGAATGATAACTAGGCAGGGCCCGGTGGCTCACGCCTGTAATCCCTGCACTTTGGGAGGCCATGGAGGGTGGATCGCTTGAGCTCAGACCAGCCTGGACAATATGATGAAACCTCATCTCTACAAAAAATACAAAAGTTAGCTAGACATAGTGTTGTGCACCTGTAGTTCCAGCTACTCAGAAGGCTGAGGTGGGAGGATTACTTGAGCCCAGGAGGTCGAGGCTGCAGTGAGCCATGATTGCACCACTGCACACCAGCATGGGTGGCAAAGTGAGACACTGTCTCAAAAAAAAAAAAAAATTAATGATAACTTATTCTTTATTTCTTCTATCTCCCTTCCATAGTTAAAATGAACTAAATGGAATTATTGCTAATTCCATATAATAGTATCTAAATAAAAATCAGCACCAAATATTACATAACAAAATACATATAAAAAGTACTAGAGGTAGGAGATTATAATGCAGTGAAAGATAGTAATTCTATTTTAAACTTCCTCTTATGTAAACATACAATTTCAAAGAATGTCCTTGTTTTAACCCTTGCAAATATTATGCTTTATGTCATTTTAGACACAATTGTTGAAAAGTTGCCGATTTAGAAATTAACAATGAAAGAAAAGAGGGAAATAAGTGTTTAGGATTTCCAGTTCCCTGACTCACATAATGATAGCCCATCAATCAGTTTGTTATTTTAAGCCAGAACAAACATGTATCATGGGATTCTAAAAACATCCCTAATGTAGACAAAGGTATTTTCTTTGAATACAGTGTTATATTTGAGCAGATTTTAAAAATTCATAAATATGTAATAACTGTTTTTGTACTTAACGTTTGGGTATCCAGAAATCCATGTCTATCATCATCATTTATAATCTGCAGATTATTTAGATTAATATTTAAATACTTTTTTTCTGTTTTTAGAAATAAACAAAAGGTAACTGGCAAAAGTAACCTGAATTTATTTTTAACATTTTAAAAATTTTATAGATTACACTATTTTTAAATACCGTAAAACATGATTTCTGATAAAAATAATTTTAGTAAGACAGAAAGGTGGTCCCTTTGTATTTATTATTATCAATAAACTGGAAAATATATTTTCAAAACATATACCAATATAGCAAACAAAAATAAATCCCTGGGTATCATACATAGAAAAAAAATCAAATATTAAAAAAAAACTGCAGTGTTACAGGCCAGTATACATAAACATAAAATTTTTGTGCTTTGTTTCTTAAAAGCTAAGCAGTCCAATAAATATTTCAACCCAAATTTACTTTTGAACTGGCTGGTTTAATGGAGAAATATAGGTGCCATTCATAACTATTTCTAAAAACATATCTATTGCAATTGCTATAGAGTGGATTAGAATCATGCTCAGGTGTTTGTGTATGCCTTGACAGAGAGGAATCATATGTATGGATTTGGTGACAGAATTGGAATTGCATAAAAATAAAAGGTTATAACAGAATTTCAAACAGCTTCTTTTTGCATTAGTGGATATTTCTAACTGAATTTGTCTTATTCTGTGCTTCACAGTATGTCTTTTTGAAAAACATGCTTCATTTTGACTAATTAACTAAACATATTATGTTATTTATGTTTCAGTAAAACAATTGTCAGATCTGTATGTTTCAATATTACAATGTTCATTTATGCCTGCCTAAATTTGGAAATATTAATAAATATATAATGTTCAATAGAAGATACTGCTCATCTTGTATTTTGTTTTCAATATCAGGTTTGGACCTGATCAACATATTAGGATTAGAATATAGAATTAAAAATTACAAGAAAACAATCACAAAAATACATTTGTAACTACAAAATATGCACCGAGGAATGTATTTATATTCATCAATCCACTAATTTTTGTAAGATACATATTATTTTATTAATAATTGAATTGAGTTTACCTGAATATGTTCAGTTCACCTCATTATTTAATGCCAATAGATATGAACCAATAGAGTCTGTTAGTCTATGATACGGAAAAGAAAAGCCTTAAATGGTTAATTCAAAATTATAATAAGTAATTTATAAAATTTATCATTTTTTTCCTCAGGAACAATGATTCAAACTGGAACTGATTTCCGTGATAGTTATTAAAATATCATAGTTATTATAGATTTAATATTAAAATAAGTAAATTTCAATATATATAAGTAAGTTTCCTTGAGAGTGGTAGAACTACACTGATCTTTCTGCTAGCTTCTTATATTTCTTCATAACCCACATTCTCAGCAGATGATTTGCTTCAGAGGCAAAACAAAAAAAAAAAGAGGTGAATCTTCCCATAAATATAAATATATCCTAGGTGAAATGTAAGAATTCTTCTCTCTGCTAGTCTCCTATTTACTACTTCCATTTGTGATCTTTGTCTAATGTACTCTTTTATTCTGAGTAGCATCATCTCACTTTACTGGACTTTTAACTTTTCCCTTCTGATATCACACTTGTGAGTACATACAAAAACCACATCTTCATGCTGTGCCTCTCTCCAATCATCACCTTATTCTTTCTTCCTTTTTGTATCCAAGTTCTTTCATAGAAAAGACTCCACTCATTACCTATTCCGTTTTATCCATTCTCTAACATACAGCAAGCTGCTTTCCATTCAAAGCAATCCATTGGCAAATGACACCAGTGATCCCTTAATTCCTTTCACTGGATTCCCTATTTTCAGTGCCTTTATTGCTTGGCTGCTTTGTAAAATTGGGACACTTTAAACATTTTTTATATATATATAATATTATATATAATATTTTATATGTATTAGTATTTATGTATATAAAATTTGTATATATATTTATTTATATATTAATTTTAAACATTATAAATATATGTTTAAAGTGTATATCTATACACTCATAAAATAGTGTCCTTCCCAGTTACTTATTTCTTAATTGTTTTTTTCTAACTCAATTTTTGTTCTTTTTGATTTCCTTTGTAGAATCCTCTTCAGCTCAGACCAAAATATTGAGCCTGATTTTCCAAGAATTTAAACCCGTATTCCCTCTTAATCACCTCATTTACTCTCCGACTTCAAACAATGACTATGTTATGATGATTCATAAGTCAATAACCATTTGCAATCTAAATCTATGATCTAGAAGTTTATATATGGCATTAGTACTTTAAATTTATTTTCTTATTTGAACTTCACATTACCTTTTAAACTAGGCACTACTATTTTTCTCTTTGGAGATGAGAAAATCGAGTTTCAAAGAGGTTAAGTAATTGAATCATATCAAAAGCTATTTATTTTCACACACAGGTTTGTGTAATGACAAAGCCTATGCTCTTAATGTAAGGAAAGTATTGTAATATTCCCCTTGAACAGCTGCTGTCTGGTCATCTTTACTAGAAGTTTTGCTGGCATTGCAAAGTCAACATTTACATAATCAAATTTACCCCCAGCTTCCTGATCCTTCACTACCCAGCCCTTGTGGATGCTAACTGGTGTCAAAAGGAATGTCACATTTGGGCATAATCTTGTTACTTGATGTCATGGCAGCACTAAAACTCATTGAGGCATTCACATAAACAAAGCACTCTTCACTCAACCTTTGAATTCATCAAGAATATCATGCTTTCCCATCCTCTATTTCCTCTCTTGGTTAATGAAACCACAAAAAACCCAACCGCCCCAGTCCCAATTCTGAATACCATAAACTATTATATTCTCTTAATCCTTATATCTAGTAAATTACTATACCTTTTCAATTTTAGTTACTAAATATGATTTGATTCTACCACCTCACCAGATTCCTCAGAGATTTCTAATTTTTATTAAATGTGTAAATGAAATAAAGTGTCCTGTGCCTCATTTAACTTATCTATAAGCAGGATAAATGTTAGTAACATCTATTTCCCTGAAAGAGGCTTAACAAGAATATAAATTTATTCAAGGTACACAACATGTGGCTTTCTGTTATATTTCTTTGAAAGAGAGATTTGAAAAGGCCTAAGTTAATATCTGTCCAACTACTGTAGATATCAAATTTTGATGTCCATGAAAAAAATGAGAGTAAGAGAAAGATTTTCTCATAGGAGAGATTTCCTCTTACTGTTTAAAGGGCTTTTTTTTTTTTTAAATTCTGACCACGCTTACAAATAAAATTCTGCTAAGTATCTTCTGGAGTCAGATATCTATTTTTGTTTTAGAATAAAAGAGTAAACTTCACATTAAATATCCCTTTTTACCTTTATACAAATGAGAAGTTAATATTAAAAATTCTATGCTTTAAAAGATGTCAATATTTATTAGTACATTTGGAAGTTCACAAAAATCTTTTTAGATTTGACTGTATAGAAAGAAGATACATCTCCAGTTATTTTAATTCATTTCAGAATTTTATTAGTAAGAATACAGACTCTCTTAATTATAAATTATAACTTATAATTACTTTTAGCTGAATAGCTAGGAATGAAAGTGGTTTTTGAAAAACATTACAAAATAATTTATCTCTGGTTTTCTTTCAACAAAATTTCCTCATACTCAGCTGCTTAGCATTCTTTATGCAACAATGCAGACTTGATTAGAGCAGGCTAGATTATGATTTTCTCTTTGGAAGGATATTTATGCTCATTATGTGAAAACTTGTGCTGTATTGCCTATTTATGACTGTCTCCAGTGGTAAGACATTTGAATCTCCTGCATAGCTATCAGAATAATATGACTCTAATAAAAATTTAGTATATGCACAATCCAAGGCAATTGTGAGTTCTTCACTTATCACTTCTCTGCCAAACTCCACCCCTAAGGAATTTGACGATTTCTTATTTTTATAAATTATCTACCAATTAATTTTGCTTAAATAATTTAAAAATGGGTCCCCCAGGTTGAAATAGTCCTTCTTTAGAAAAGTTTTTTTTATTTATTTCTGAGACAGAGAAACTTGTGAAATATTTAACAATAATATGACATTAAAAAATTTTGTAGTTAAAAGTATATGTCAAATTATACATCAGGGCCCTAGCTTGCACAGCTGTCATCTAATCTTCATCTGAGCTATGACAAGGTAAGTTCCTCCCATTCAGTTCTACCATGCCCTGTCAGATCTAGTACCAATCCCTTTGACTGGTTTTGAAGATAATGTTGGAGGAGAAACGGGAATTTAAAAAGATAATACTATGCTAAGCATAATGGCTTACGCCTGTAATCCCAACAATTTGAGAGGCTGAGGCCAGAGAATCACTTGGGCTGAGGAGTTTGAGACCAGCCTGGGTAACATGGTGAGACCCTATCTGTATTATAAAACACACACACACACGCACACACACTCACATACACACACACACACATATATACACATATATATGTATAATATTTTTTATTAAAAAGAAAATATCTCCATTCATAATCAAGATTACTATAATGAAGCAGCTCTTAATATAATAATAGTATTTGTAATAAGTTGTTATATTTTATGCCATAATCATGATCTACTCACAATCATAATCATGACTGCCTTCATGTACATTAAATAATGGGAATACTATAATCGCTCTGTGAGCTGCACAGTACAGACAGCTAATAGCAACGAAAAGTATATCAAGGAGTGACAAAAGACGTTTAGTAAATTTACTTGTAATAGAGTGTAACAAAATAGTATGTAGAAAGACCACAAAGTGTTATTTAAATAAAGTAACATTTCCACCATATTATGAAGTATCTCAACTACTATTGCTACTAATATTATTAATAAAAATGTAAATTTATCACAACTTTATGTAGCTGGTAATTTTTATACAATGTATTTACATGATAAAACTGGAGGCAGATATAAAGATACTAAAAATTTTACTTAAAATTGTATTAAATATTCATCTTTGATAACAATACATTAGCGTATTTGGCATAAAAATGAACAAGATTACAGAAAAATATAAATTGTGAAATAGTTCTAAATGAAACTTGAATGACAGTAAAATGGAAGGGAAATGAAGACTGAGAAAGGAAAGAGCAAATAATAGCTAAGAGCATAGACTCCAGCACCAAAATGCAACAGTTTAAATCCTGACTCTGCCGCTGACTATATATCTCATCTATATTTAATATTCCTATGCCTTAGTTTTTTATATGTTAAATGGGAAAATGGTATTACCTACAACATAGATGGATTGAGTTACTATTACAATTTTGATCTATTATCTTTTTTTATTTTATAAACACTTAAATTATTGACATACGTAGCAATTGTTATGTTCTTTCATAGTCTTTCTCTTTCATGAAAAATACTTATTTTCATTCTGTGTTTTTGGCATCTTTCTTAAACATAAATTGACTGTAGATGTATGGATTTTATTTTTGGCTTTCTATCATGTTATAGATATCTCTATGTATATCATGCTGTTTTGATTATTATAAATCTGTAGTAAATTGTGAGATCAGGTTGTGTGATACATCCATCCACCATTGTTCTGGTTGATCAGTTTTTTTTGATATTAGGGGTTTTTGCAGATCCGTATAGACTTACAATTGTTTTTCCTATTTCTATGAAAATGTCATTGGAATTTGACATTGCATTGACTCTGTGGATCTCTTTGGGTAGTATGAACGTATTCACATTATTAAATCTTCTACTACATCAACATTAGATTTTTAATTTTTTCCTGTTGTCTTCAATTTCTGTAGTCAATGTTTTACAGTTTTCAGTATATAGTTCTTTCACTTCCTTAGTTAAATTTGTCCCTATGTATTTCTTATCCTATTGTAAATGAGATTATGTTCTTGATTTCTTTTTCAGGTAGATTATACTGTATAAATATGCTACTGCTTTTTGTAAGTTGATTTTGTATCCTGAAACTTTGCTGAATTAATTCAGACAGCTTTTTCATGGAGTCTTTAATGTTTTCTATATACAAGATCACAGCATCTGCAAAGGGAGATAATTTAATTTCTTTCTTTCCAATTTGTATACCTTTTGTTTCTTTATCTTAACTAATTTCTCATTTAGAACTTCATATTATTCTAAGTAAAATAAGCCAGGTGAAGAGAAAAATACTATATGATCTCAGTTATCTGTGGAATCTGGAAATGTGAAGCTCATAGAAATAGAGAATAGAATGATGGTTCCCAGGGTTAGGGTGGATGAGAATGAGGAGATGTGGTGACAATAGTTAATGATGACATACTGTATAATTAAAAATTGCTACTAGAGTAGATTTTAAATGTTCTCAACACAAAAAAATGAGTATATGAGAAGATGAATATGCTAATTAACTTGATTTAATCATTTCACAATGTATGCATATATCAAAACATCTGTATATCTGTTATGTGACATTTATATATATGTATATATATCAAACATTTGTGGTAACCTATAAAAATATATAATTTAGAAAAAACATTACAGTTATGAGATGTGGAAATAATCATGACCAGGAGGAATGTACTAAATCTTTATAAAATTATGGCACATTATCAGCGCAAAATAGCCTCTGTGTACCAGTTTGTACATTGGTAACCACACATTGTATCCAGTATTCTGACTTCTAACATCATAGCTTCAGGTTTTACCTACTCTTGAACTTCATGTAAATAAAATGTACGTCCTGTGTTGGGCATTTCTGTTTTCAATATTAACTCTGTGAAATGCATCTATATTAAATGATTTATAGTTTGTTTTGAATTGTGTATGTGTAGTATCCTACTGTAGGAATATTTCACTTTAAAAAAATCATGCTATAGTTGATGTGGAATTGGATTACTTTCAGTTCGATGCTATTGTGGATAATGGTGCTGTGAAATATCTCCTCCCACTTTTGCTGTTTATTCACAGTTCTTGTTTTTCTGGGAATATATCTAATAAGAAGAAGAATTACTGGTTTTTAGTATACTCTAAACACTATTTATGTTCAGTTGTTTATGTTCAGTTTAATAAACACACTCAAACAGATTTCTACAAGGGCTGTATTACTTTATACTCTCATCTGGAAAGTATGGGAATTCCATTTGGTCCACATTCTTACCACCATCACTTGGGCGTTATCCTTATAATTTTAGGTACTGTGGTATTTCGCCATTTTAAAATTTGCATTTATATGAATAATAATGGTGTTTAACCATCTTTGCATGTATGACATGCCTATTTGCATATGTTTCTGCCATGTTTTAGTCCAATTTGGGATGTAAAATTTAAATGTTTTTCTTTATATTGTTAATTTGTGGGAATGCTTTTTATAAATAAGCAAACAAACAAAACCCTGTATTTTAAAGAAAAACCCTTTTCCTGTTCTGTAGATTATACCTTTTCATTCTCTTGACATTATCTTTTGATGAACACATGTCCTTTATTTTAATGAAACTCAATTTATAAATATTCTATTCTAAAGTTGGCGCTTTTTTGACATGTTTAAATTAATTTTATCATAACATAAATTCTTCAAGATAAGCTTTTATGTTTTCTTCCATAAAAATGTTTATTGCTTTTCTCATTAATTTTATACTTAATCACCATCTGGGGGACTTAAATTTTGTTTATTGTATGACTGTTAAAATTTATTGACACAACTGACCCATTTATAGGACAGATTATACTTGCACCCACTGCATTTCAATAGCATTTTATAATAAATTACAAAGACCATATAGAGAAAGAGTCTTTTCCTTTTTCTACCTTCTTGAGATAAAAATATAATTTCTTAAATGTCAATCTTTCTTCCCTCATAATACAGGCACTTAAGACTATAAAAATCACTATTAACACTGCCTTGGTTGCATCTTACATGTTTCAAAACTTGGTTGCTTCTTATATATTTCAAAACATTGTTATTTTTATTATTTTTATATTATTTAATATTATTTTATTTATTATTATTAAGGTCAAAACAGTCACTAATTTTTATTTTAATTTCTTCTTTGGCCTATGATTTATTAACAAATACTATGCTTAATTTTGAACTTTTTAAAATTTTCCACTTATAAATATTATTTATTTTCAATTTAATTCAGGAAACTTCCTCTGTATTATTTTAAGTCTTGAAAATTTAGTAAGAATTGCTATGTGCCTTAACATGTACTTATGAGAAAAGTATATGTTTTAAATATTATGTTCAATGCAAACCGATAAGGTGAAGTTATTAATAGTTTTGTTCAAATCTTCCTATCCTTATTTATTTTTTACTACTGCTCTATTAAATACAGAGAAGGATATATTAAAATTGCTAACTATAATTGAGGGTTGGTTTTTCCTTTATCAATGTTAGCTTTATGCATTTCAAATTTGATACTAGATACATTTAAAATGATTTTTATTCCTAACGAATTACCCTAATTCATTAAGAAATAATCCTCTTTTTGCAGGGCATGTCCTCTGATTTGAACTCTCCTTTTTTGTGGTTTCATAGTGTATTAGTACATTTTCACATTGCTCATAAAGACATAACCAGGACTAGGAAATTTACAAAAGAAAGGTTTAATTTCCATGTGTCTGAGGAAGCCTCACAATCATGGAGAAAGGCAAAAAGGAGCAAGTCACATCTTACATGGATGGCAGCAGGCAAAGAGAGAGCTTTGTCAGTCAAACTACCATTTTTTTCAAGCCATCACATCTCGGGAGACTTATTCACTATCACAAAAATAGCATAGGAAAGACCTGCTCCCATGATTCAGTCATCTCTCACCAGATCCCTCCCACAACATGTGGGAATTATGGAAGTTACAAGATGAAATTTGGGTGGGGACACAGAGCCAAACCATATCATTGTGCCCCTGGTCCCTCCCAAATCTCATGTCCTCACATTTTAAAACCAATCATGCCTTCCCAATAGTCCCCAAAGTCTAAACTCACTTCAGGATTAACTCAAAAGTCCACAGTCCAAAGTCTCATCTGAGACAAGGAAGGTCCCTCCTGCCTATGATTCTGTACAATTAAAAGCAAATTAATTACTTCCTAGATTCAATGGGAATACAGGCACTGGGTAAATACAGCCATTCCATACGGGAGACATTGGCCAAAACAAAGAGGCTACAGGCCCCATGCAAGTTCAAAATCCAAGAGGGCAGTCAAATCTTAAAACTCCAAAATGCAGCTCGGAGGCTCACGCCTGAAATCCCAGCAATTTGGGAGGCTGAGGGGATATGATCACCTGATGTCAGGAGTTTGAGACCAGCCTGGCCAACCTGGTGAAACCCCATTTCTACTAAAAATACAAAAATTAGCCATGCCTGATGGCACATGCCTGTAATCCCAGCTACTCAGGAGGCGGAGGCAGGAGAATTGCTTGAACCTGGGAGCCGGAGTTTGCAGTGAGCGAGATTGCGTCATTGTACTCCAGCCTGGGCAACAAGAGGAAAACATCATCTTAAAAAAAACAAAACAAAAAAAAACCAAGAACTTCAAAATGATCTCCTTCAACTCCATGTCTCACATCCAGGTCATGCTGATGCAAGAGATGGATCCTCATGGTCATGGGCAGCTCTGCTCCTGCAGCTTTGCAGGGTATAGCCTTACTCCTGGTTGCTTTCATGGGCTGGCTGGGATTGAGTGTCTGTGACTTTTCCAGGTACACAGTGTATGCTATTTGTGGATCTACCATTCTGTGGTCTGGAGGACAGTGGCTCTCTTCTCACAGCTCCACAAGGTGGTGCCCCAGTAGGGACTCTGTGTGGGGGTTCTGACCCTACATTTCACTTCTGCACTGCCCTAGCTGAGGTTCTCCATGAGGGTCCTGCCCCTGCAACAAACTTCATCCTGGACATCCAGGCATTTCCATACATCCTCTGAAACCTAAGCAGAGGTTCCCAAACCTCAGTTTTTGATTTCTGTGCACCCGCATGCTCAACACCATGTGGAAGCTGCTAAGGCTTGGGCCTTCCACTCTGAAGCAATAGCTCAAGCTGTACCTTGGTCCCTTTTAGTCACAGCTGAGTGGCTGGGACACAGGGCACCATGCTCCTAGACTGCAAACAGCAGAGGGACCCTGGGCCCAGCACATGAAACCCATTTTTTCCTCCTAGGACTCTGGGCCTGTGGTGGCAGGGGTTGCCTGTAAGGTCTCTGACATGCCCTAGAGACATTTTCCCATTGTCTTAATGATTAACATTCAGCTCCTCATTACTTATGCAAATTTCTGCAGCCAGTTTAAATTTCTCCTCAGAAAATGGGACTTTCTTTTCTATCACATTGTCAGGTTACAAATTTTTTGAAGTTTTGTGTTCTGTTTCTTTTATAAAACTGAAGCCTTTAATAGCACCCAAGTCACTTCTTGAATGCTTTGCTGCTTAGAAATATTTTTTGCCAGATACCTTAAATCATCTCTCTCAAGTTCAAAGTTCCACAAATCTTTGGGGCAGAGGTGAAATGCCACCAGTTTCTTTGCTAAAACATAACAAGAGTCACCTTTACTCCAGTTCCCAACAAGTTCCTCATCTCCATCTGAGACCACCTCAGCCTGGACCTTATTGACTATATCATTATAAGCATTTTGGGCAAAGCCATTCAACAAGTCTCTAGGAAATTCTAAACTTTCCCACATTTTCCTGTCTTCTGAGCTCTCCAAACTGTTCCAACCTCTGTTACCCAGTTCCAATGTCGTGTCCACATTTTGGAGTACCTTTTCAGCAATGCCCCACTCGACTCATATCAATTATGCTCCTGATAGTGCATTTTCATGCTCCTGATAAAGACATGCCTGAAACTGGGCAATTTACAAAAGAAAGAAGTTTAATTGGACTTACAGTTCTACCTGGCTTGGGAAACCCCACAATCATGGAGGAAAGCAAGGAGGAGCAAGTCACCTCTTATATGGATGGTAGAAGGCAAAGAGAGAGAGCTTGAATGGGCAAAATCCCATTTTTTAAAGCCATCAGACCTCATGAGACTTATTCACTATCACAAGAACAGCATGGAAAACACCCATTCCCATGATTCAGTCAACTCCCACTGGGTCCCTCCCACAACACTTGGGAATTATGGGAGCTACAAGATGAGATTTGGGTGGGGACACAGAGCCAAACCATATTGCATAGTATATATTTTCTTATTTTACTTAAAATTTTAGTGTGTTCTTCTACTTTAAATGTTTCTCTTTTAACAGTGCATAATGTGTTTTAATTTTTAAGGCACTTTTATTAGTTTCCTATGGCTACTATAACATAGTACCACATATTTAATGGCTTAACACAACACAGATAATTTTTTATTGTCATAGAAAACAGAAGTTCAAAGTAAGTCTTCCAGGCTAAAATAAAGGTGCGAGCTAGGCTGATAATTTCTCTAGAAGGTTCAGGATAGAATATGTTGTTTGCCTTTTCCAGCTTCAGAGGCTTTCCTCATTCCACAACCTACCATACCACATCTCATTGTTTTAGCTCCCCTATTTTCCTCACCATATGGCCTTTTCCTCTTCTGTTATCAAATCTGGAAGTGCTGCCTAGAGCCACGGGGGTGAGGGCTCCGTGACAGAGCTCTGGTTGTTTGATCCAAGCCTGGTCCAAGCAGCAGGACCTCTGCCGTACGCAGGTCTGAAAGGCAGGACCTTCAACCCCATCAGGTCCAGAGTACAGAACGTAGAGCCAGGGTCTTGAGCCTCAATCTAATAGAATTTGATTTGAGTCAACTCAAATTCCAATTTGATTTGAGTCAACTCAAATTCCAATTTGATTTCGGTTTTCAACTTGTTCAGGAATGTGTCACTCATTTCTTCTTTTCTGTTTATCTTTTTTAAAATATAAATGTCTCTCATGCCTGTGTTACCATTGTATTTTGGAAGCATACAACTTGTTTGATTTCACAGGCTCAAGCTGGAGAGCAATTTGCCTCAGGATGAATCATGCCTTGAGTTCACTCATACTTGATTTAGACAATATTTACGTGAGACTTTGGATTTAGCTTTTGAATTGATAACATGTGAGAAAGACATAAATTTTGGGGAGCTGGTGGAGGGATGGAATGTCATAGATGGAATGCTTGTGCTCTCCCAAAATTTCTATGTTGGAACCCTATGTGATAGTATTCAGAAAGTGGGATTTGGGGAGGTAATTAGGATTAGATGAGGCTGTGAGGATAGAGCCTTCAAGAATGGGATTAGTGCCCTTTTAAAAGAAACCCTGGAGAGCTCCCTTCCTCCTTCGGCCATGTGAGGACACAGCAAAAAGATAGTTGCTATGACCTTCACCAGACACTGAATCTGCTGACACCTTGATCTTGGACTTCTCAGCCTCCACAACTATGAAAAATACATTTCTTTTGTTTTTAAGTCACCTAGTCTATAGTTGTATTAGTCTGTTTTCACACTGCCAGAAAGAACTACTGGAATTGGGTAATTTATGAAGAAAAGAGGTTTAATTGACACAGTTCTGCAGGCTTAACAGGAAGTGTGACTGGGAGGCCTCAGGAAATTTATAATCACGGTGTAAAATGAAGGGGAAACAAACACATCTTACTATGGCAGAGAAGATGGTGGGGGGAAGTGCTACACATTTACAAACAACTGGATCTCATGAGAACTCACTCACTATCATGAGAAGAGCAAGGGGAAAGTCTCCCCCCATGATTCAATTCCCCACTACCAGGCCCCTTCCCTGAGATGTGGGGATTACAATTTGAGATGAGATTTGGATGGGGACCCAGAGCCAAGCCATATCAGTAGTATTCTGTTATAACGGCCTGGAAAGACTACAAAAATGTGTATAATTATGAAAATAGCAGCATATGTAGGTGGAACACAAAATATATACAGATTATAGTCAGTCTTTGATAAGTATATGCTTTAAAAAAATCCCTTGATTAAACCTGTTTCTCACAGTATCAAGATATACATATTGAAAATGCAGAATTTCTGTATGTAGAAATAACTCCTCAATGGGGCCTCTAATCCAATCCAGCTCTCAGTTCTTTTACCCTGAGTGAATCTGTTTCTCTATTCAGATTGTATTAAAAATCCTGTAAACCCAAAGTATCGCTATTTTATAATTTGTTTTTTTTTGACTATTTGTCTTCTTTACACTCTCCTCATGTACTCTCTACCTGTCCTTCCAAGCCTAACTTGTTACCTCTTTCACTCTACAGTAACCTTTTCTGTTTCTGAACGCCTACCATTAATCGTCTGCAGTTCTCAGCTTTGACTGACTGTGAGAATTATCAATATACAAAGATTCTGTATAGAATCATTTTTATCTATTTTATTATTTATTTAAATGTTTTTTGAGACAGAGTTTCACTCTGTCACCCAGGCTGGAGTGGCAGTGGTGCAATAATAGCTCACTGTAGCGTGGAACTCCTAGGCTCAAACAATATTCTTACCTCAGCCTCCTAAATAGCTGGGACTACAGGCATATGCCACCATGCTCAACTAATTTTTAAAATTTTTTGTAGAGATGGGATCTAGCTATGTTGCCCAGGTTGGTCTCAAACTCCTAGCTTCAAGCAATCCTCCCATCTAGGCCTTTCAAAGTGCTGGGATTTCAGGCCTCAGCCAGCAGCCTTTATTTTACATCAAGCAGTACCATGATAGGAACTCCAAGTACATAGATCTAGGTGGTGTTTGAGGGGGTCAATTAATAGGTTACAGATTGGCCATACTCCTACTAATTCTTGTGTTCTTCATTCCCATCTTCAGATCTAGGTTTTCATTTAGTATTATTTTCCTTTATCCTAAATAACTTTTTATTGCATTCTTAAAAATAATGTGGGGTTTCTCAATAATTAGCATGACAGCAAATTAAATCTTGTAGTTTTATTTACTCCAAGAGCCTTTCCATCTCGGATGATCTGGAACTCCAGCTTTTGTCTTCCTGGCTAATCCAAATGCTGAGACATCTAATAAAATTCTTAGGATTGTAGTTATTTCTTTGTGATATCAGCCTTGAAACTTTGCCCTGTACAATACATCCAGCTTAGAATTCAGGAAAAAATAATCAAGAGTAAAATTACATGCAGATTTTGAGGGTCACTCCTCTGTTCCCTTTTCTAGGATTTTGCTGCTTAAGCACCAGCCACATTGGCAGCACAAACATCATTCCATACCTTTCCAACACAATGAATCTTCATATTGCACCTTTCACTCCATTTTTCTGAGCTGCAAATTGACAAAATTCATCAGGCACAGGGCTAGGTAATGCAATTTGCATTTATTTGCTTCTCTTTTTTCAGAGCTGATAGTCTGTCTTTTACTCAAATTATTCTACTGATTAAAGACAAATGACAAACAGCACCCACAACATTCAGTGGTTGGCAGAAAATTATTATTTGTATCTTCAGGTAATGTTTACTAAACTTAGAATCTACCAACATATACATTATCCACAATTTCCTATAGATCTTATGAATGTCCACATTTGTATATGCTGTACCAATGCATATTTAAAATACTTTAGAAATTTAAAATAAGCTTTCATGGAATACAAACCATTTTCATTACAGGTTGGCTGTACAGTCTATAACTCTATTTTTAGTCCCCTTTGTACCAAAAAAATTAAAATCATTCAAAGATTGTTAGACAATTAAGATTCGAATTGAGTTCTAAGGAATACATTTTAGCCTGTAGGTAGATAGACACAGCATTAAAAATGCAGGCATCTTCGTAATGTAGCATGTGAGTAGCAATAGATCAGATTTTGCATTAGAACTACAAAATGAGCATATTTGTGTCTCTGGGAAATATAAAGAATATTCATCAAACTCTGATTTTAAAACTGGCTTTTTGTTCACTTTTTTCTTTAAAGAAGAACTTATTTATTAATAGCTTTTTATTTTAATAGGAAAGACACTATTATACCAATACCAAACATTTAACATTGAAATGCTGTAACTTGTGTGCTTTAGAGAAAACATGAAGAGAATTTCTAAGAGCTAAATAGCACTTTCCCATGTGCTTCATGCATCAAAGGGTACCCTGGAAAATACATTTTGCATGTGCAGGCATGCTCCAGAGAAGATTTGAAGAGATACGTGATAATGCATGCTGCTTATTTCCAAGCTGAATCTCAATGCTTTACTAAAAATTGAAAATAAAAAGGAAATGTAATATTTTTCCACATCTCCAGTAAAAGAAGTATGTTTACAGATTTAAATGCAACTTTAAAATCATTGTTTATATTAACACATGTTAATCATGAAATATAAATTTCTTTAAAAGGACGTAGTAGTTCATAATAGCAATGTGAATGCACAAATAACTAGAAAAACCACCTCTCTCGGCTGAAAAATAAAAGCATTTCAGCTAAAAGAAAAAAGCATTTTAGCAACTGAATAATATTGCCTGTGACCAAAGACTTACAATTCCTTTCTGTATTTGAGGTGTGTGAAACTGCTCAATTTTCCCCCAGCAGTTCATAGGAAATGCTTTCAATCTCAGACTTTCACAGCTCCTTGAATTTTGCAACCCTACCAGCACTTAAACAGGTTGCTGTCAAACTTTCCAAATATTGGTAAAGCTGTGAGCCTTGTAGCAAAATTTTAAGCTCTTGTGCCATTTAAAGTGGTACGTACATGTACCTAGTGATATAAATCTGTCATATATAGCTCAAAATTATCAGAATTATATGTTTAAATTAAATTTTGGTATTGGAAGAATGAATGTTATTATAAAACAGGCAAAATGCTTGGGTATTAGGATAGTTAGCAGGTTAAAATATTAATTCTACATTCAGAGTTAGCTACACTGAATACTAAAGCTGGAAAGGATCCTTACATATATATTTTGTGTCTAACACTTAAATTTGTACCTCCATCATTGAGAAAATTAATTTAAATTAATGAGATTTATCTCTATTGATTTGTAACAAGGAATGGTGATTTTCTGAATTTTAAAAACTATAAATCTGTAGATTTTTAAACATTATCAAAAAAAGCTTCATTTTTACTTAGTGTACAGTTAGTTTGCTATAAATAACTTCAGATGATTTAGTATTCATTTAGTATAAAATTAATTTAGTAATTTTAAAACTTAGCCCAATTTTATAGCTAAGAGAATGGAATATGCTATGCTTTTGGTTTTGAAGGTAAAGGGTAAGTCCATGAGCCAGGGAATGCAGACAGTCTACAGAAGCTAGAAAAGGCAAGAAAATAGATCTGTTCCTCGACACTTTAGAAGGGACACATATCTACCAACAAATTGATTTTAGTCCATTAGAATGAATCTGCACTTTTGACTTCTAGACTATAACATAATTAACTTATGTTATTTTATGTTGTTCTAAGCCACTACTATGATTTGAATGTGTCCCCCAAAATTTATGTGTTGGAAACCTAATCCCCAATATAACAGTGTTAGGAGGTGGGGCCTAATAACAGGTGATTAGGTCATGAGGGATCTCAATGTCATTATCATAAAGTAGGTTAGCTATTGTGAGAGTGGCTTTGCTGTAAAGTGAGTTTGGCTCCCTCTTACTCTCTCCCTCTCACAGGTCTTGTATGTGTGCTCTCTTGCTCTTCCACCTTCTGTCATGGTATGACACCAAAAGAAGACCTTCACAAGACAAAGCCCCTTGATCTAGGACTTCCCAGCTTCCAGGACCATAAGCCAAATAAATTCCAGGACCAGTCTCAGATATTTGGGTATAGCAACACAAAATAGCTTAAAACAGACACTAGTCATAATTTGTTATAACAGCATTAGGAAAGTAAAGGAAGTACATTGTCTATTTTTTAATAGAGAAAATATGCTTCACAGAATTAGTTGGATAAAGTAATTGTAAAAACTAAATAAAAAAATATAAAAAATCAACAACAATTCCAGGGAGATGAGAATTCAAAGTTGTTACATTATATAAAATATATAATTTTCTGGCCAGGTGCAGTGGCTCATGCCTGTAATCCCAGCACTTTGGGAAACTAAGGTGGGAGAATTTCTTGAGGCCAGGAGTTCAAGATGAGCCTAGGCAACATAGTGAGATTCTGTCTCTTCAAAAAAAATTAACTGCACATGGGGGCATAACCCTGTAGTCCAAGCTACTTGAAAGGCTGAGGTGGGAGGATTACTTAAGCTCAGGAGTTCAAGGCTGCAGTGAGCCATGAACATGGCACTGCACTCCACCCTGAGTGACAAAGTAAGACCCTGTCTCAAAACATAAATAAATAAATAAAATTTACATATATATATATATATATAATTTTCAGGAAAAAAAAACAAACAAAACGAACCATGAGAGATGTAGAGAAACACAAAGTGTGACCTATATCCGGGAATAAGCAAGCAGGCAATAGAAACTAGTTTCGAAGATGTCCGAATAGGCCAGACATGGTGACTCATGTCTGTATTCCAGCACTTTGGGAGACTGAGGCAGGCAGATCACTTGAGGCCAGGAGTTTGAGAGCAGCCTAGCCAACATGGCAAAAACTCATCTCTATTAAAAATACATAAATTAGCCAGGTGTGGTAGCACATGCATGTAATCCTGGCTACTCTGGAGGCTGAGGCATGAGAATCACTTGAACCTGAGGGGCAGTTTGCTGTGAGCTGAGATCACACCATTGCACCGCAGCCCTGGTGACAGTGTGAGACTCTATCTCACACACACAAAAAAGATGTCCAAATATAGACTAAGCAGAGAAATATTTCAAAGTAGTCATTGTAAATATGCTCAAAAAACACTGTCTTAAAAAATTAAAAATACAAAAAGTATGATAGTTACACAACTAGAAAATATTAATACATAAATATTCTTTAAAAATTCATTTTCTGTAGTTACTAAGTACCACTGACATGAAAAATTCACTACAGGTGCTTAACTAAAGATAAGACCTGGCAGAAGAAAGGCTCAATACTCAAGACAGCAATAGAGATGATTAAAAAAAAAAAAAAACAGAAGCACACATTTTAAAAAAATAACAGAACCTTAAATAAATAAGAGACAGCTTTAAGCAAACTTGAATATGCATAATGGGAATACCAAATAGACAGAAGAGAGAGAAAAGTGAAGCAAATTATTAACAAGTGTAATGGATGAAATTTCTCCAATTTGATGGAAAATGGCATTATGCACAAACAAGAAGTCCAGCCAACCACAAGCATGTTATCAATGCAAAGGGAGTGATACCTAGATAGATCATATTCAAACTGTTGAAAGCCGAAAATAAAATAAAGTCTTTAAAGCAGCATGAAATAAAATACTTACTGTATACAAAGGAATCCTAGTAAGATCAACAACTAACTTTTTATTCAGAAACAATCATGCTCAGAAGTCAATAGATCAATGTAGCCAAAGTACTAGGAGAAAAAAATGTCAATCTACAACCCTATAGCCAGAAAAATTATCTTTCAGATTTAGTGAAAATGAAATGAAAATACCAAATATGAACAAATTAGGATAATTTGTAGCTAGCACTTTAGCTTTCGGATAAATATTGAAAGTTATTTCTAATATTGAAGTAAATAATGTCAGAGAACAATTGGAATCTATTTGAAAAAGTAGGCAGCACCAGTAAGGAGTACTATGTAGGTAGATATAAAATACGGTATAGTCATATTTTTCTTCTTTTTTTTCTATGAACTAAGTTACAACAATAAAAAATTGCATAAGACTGTAGCCATACAATTGTATTGTATGGTTTATAACATACGAAGTTATGATATATAATAACAATACAGAGAAAGAGGAGAGAAAATAAAGCTAATTTGGAGCAAGGACATGACATCAGATAGTAACTTGAACCCAGAGGAAAGTTTTAAGAGAGCCAAAAATGACATATTTTCTCCTTTATCTTCTATGATTTTTTAAGAAATATTTTCTTAAATTCACTAGAGTTTTATTTTTTCATTTATTTTACCTAGAAAATTATATTAGAAGTAGCATCTGCCAATTAATAAAGACTAAAATTGTGGTGAGGATATATAATATAGTTATACTTGTACAGAAATAGTAAGTGATAAAATTATGTCATAATTTTGAAAGTAATGATTATCAGTTTTAAATGTGAAATAATCAAATGTATTATTTTCAGGATTAGAAGGCTAAATTTTAGAGGTCAAGTATATTAATAAGATTCAATGTATAATCAGTATATGTAAACAGCTCCAATTTTAAAAATATAATTTTAAATATTTTAATACATTTATATTAATTGATGTTACACATATACTATTGTGGTCACAGCTTTTATTAGAATTTTAAAATAAATTATCCATGAACATGAACTCTGCTATTGATATCCATAGATTGTTTAGTATAAAAGAGTCGTAATTTTATTATACATTAATTTTGAAATGATGAATGTTTATAATTTCTAGTTTACTTTGAGTGTAGTTTCACTTGACTTAAGATTCTATGTTCAGCATTAATATATGTTTGATTTATAGCAGTTTGCATGCAATCTTCTGATCTTTACAGAAATAGTAATAAATATATACAAATAAATGATATTAATTGACCTCATTCCATAATGAGCTAGGATATATCACTAGTAATAAAAGGCTTATTCATGTGAAGAAATGTCATTCTTTTAGGCACCAATGTGCCATTTGTTGAATTTCTCAACTCATTGTCATTCTGGGTACTGTATATCTAAGAAGTTCAGGCCTTAATACGACACACATACAAATGCACACACACACACACACACACACACACACATCACATATACACAAGAATATATACAGTGATGTCAGCAAGATATCATACATACAAATGCACACACATAAATGCACACACACACACACAAGTCACATATACACAAGAATGTATAGA
The DNA here is from genome assembly GCF_000001405.40 of Homo sapiens. NCBI lineage: Eukaryota > Metazoa > Chordata > Mammalia > Primates > Hominidae > Homo > Homo sapiens. Next base: position 131,135,980 of record NC_000004.12, read on the forward strand.
GTGATGTCAGCAAGATCATGGAATAGGAAGTTCTGAACTCCCAACCTCTACACAGAAAGTTTAACTAGCAACTATCCACAGACTAGAATGTCCTGTTGAAAACCCTGACACTTGGAAACATGCCCGAGACACTCATATGGTCTAGAAAACTGAATAAAATCCAAATTAGGGAGCTAAAAAAAATGGTCTCACTCTGACTGCATCTTCGCTTCCCCTCCTCCAAGTTGCCACAACACCAGACAAAGAGGATTTCCCTGGGTTCACAGTTTCTGCAGAGAGAAAAGAGAACCAGAAACAGTCAGCCATTGTTTCCAGCATTCCAGGATGTTTGTAGGAAGCTCACTTTAGTCTCACTTCACAAAATAAATTGAGAGAAACTGCATGGCTAGGCCACTCAGAGTCAAGAAGAAATAAAGAAAGGAGACAGAGTTAATAGTGACAAGCACACATAGATCTTGGTGGTATCTCTGTGTTTCTGTGGTGCCCTATCATAGATACCAGCCAATCTTTTAAGCCACTTGCAAAGCTAAGCTAGATGCTTTCAGAAGCACAGTGGAAGTTCAAACTAGCTTGAGTTGGTAAACTTCTAGACTCCCCAGCCAGCCTTAAAACCCACCACAATGATCCTCACAAATAGGAAAACACCCATCTCCTCTCATGTCAGAGAAGCAAATGGGCTAGATTGGCTTGACCTAGGAAGTCAAGCAGTGACTTTGCTCAGCCATCAAAGTCCATCAGACAACTATGCCCAGGAAAGAAGACTTCCACCTCCTTACATCTTAGAGAAGCATAAGGAATAGATTGGCTTGATAACCCAGGAATCAAGCAGAGGCTCCACTCAGCCAAAAATCCTGCCCAACAACTTTGCCCAGGCAGGGAGACTTCTATCTCTGTGCATTTTGAATAAAAATAGGGACTAGTCCTGCTTGGTCCCAGAAGTCAAGCAGCACCTCCACTCAGCCAAAGAGCTCACCCAATGGGCCCACCCAGGCAGGAAATCTCCCACCTCTGTGGATGTTAGAGAAGCATAGGGCCTAGATGGATTTGACTCAGAAAGTCAAGGAGCAGCTCCACTCAGCCAAAAAGTGCACTCAACAACTCTACTGAAGCAGGGAAATGTCTACCTCCACAAATTTTGGAAAAGCACAGGGGCTATACATACTAGACTCGGTAAGTCAGTGATTCAAACCAGCCAAAGGCCCACCACACTACTCCACCCTAACAGGGAGACCATTTTAATCATGCATTTCTAAGGAGCGTAGCGTCTGCTCCTGTCTCTCTTAAGCAGTGACTCCACCTAACTTCAGGTCTCAGTCTGCAGTCCTGCCCAGCTGCAGATTCTAAAGCATGAAATTGCTTGGCCAGGGAATACATCTTGTGACTTGCCTGACCAGAAGCAATTACAGTACCCAGCAGTTCTGCCTGATAGCACAGCCAAGTCAATGGCCTCACCAGTCAGCAGAGCTCAGCCACAAGCTCACCAACATGAGAGCAAAGGCAGCAACCCAGCCAACTAGAGAAATCTGAACATGCTCTGCCTGTCCAAAGTTGTTACTAGTTGATCCTTCCTAAATAATAGACTAAACTAAGTAGTAAAGGTCTATCTCTGAAAAGGGACACTTAAAAGGGAAAGTAGAGGAAGTCCTCTTCTCAGATTTGTAGATGACAGTGCAAGGACACAAGAGTTAAAATAAATTCTAACATCAAAATGCTAAAGTATAATAGGGGCAGTAAAAGAGTAGAGTTGTTTCATGCAATGTTAAGTTGTTGTCTGTTTGAAATAGTCCTATAAGTATCAGATCTTCTATGTAAGCCTCATGGTAAACACAAAGGAAAAATATTCAGCAGAAGCATTAAACAAAAATAGAAATGATTCAAAGCAAACTAAAGACAACCATCAAATGACAAAGAAATGCAACAAGGGAGGAAGCAAGAAAGAACACATTTATAAAACAACCAGTAAACAACAAACAAAATGGCAACAGTGAGTCTTTACTTATTAATAATTACTTTGAATGTAAATGAATTAAATTATCCAATAAAAACACAGAGTGACTGAATGGATAAAAAAGTGCAGCACACCAACATGGCACATGTATACATATGTAACAAACCTGCACGTTGTGCACCTGTACCCTAGAACTTAAAGTATAATAAAATATATACATATATATATAAAATAAAAAAATTACAAAAGAAAGCATAAAAAAGCAATATCTTCAACACCATGGGAAAAGTATAAAAAAAAGCAAAAAATAGCAAAAACACAAACAAAACCAAAACAAAACAAAAATCACAAGATCTAAATATACACTAGCTACAAGAGACTTTCCTTTTAAGGATACACATAGATGGAAAGTGAAGAGATGAAAAAAGTTATTTTCTGCAAATGAAAACCAAAAAAAAAAAAATAGAATTAACTACATTAATGTCAGAAAAAATAGACATTAAAAAAAAACAAGAGACGAAGATATTATATAATGATGAATGGGTCAATTCATTAAGAGGATATAACAATTGTAAGTATACACATATCTTGACACACCTAAATATATAAAGCAAATATTAATAGATCTGAAGGGAGAGATAGACTTCAGTACAGTAATAGTAGAAAATTTTATCATCCCATTTTCAGCAATGGACATATTCCGACAGAAAGTTAATGAGGATATTTTGGACTGAAACATTTTAGACCGAACAGACCTAAAGACTATGGAATATCCCAGCCAACAGCCAACATGCATTCTTTCCAAGTACAAACAGAACATTCTTCAGAATAGATTATGTATTATGGAACAAAACAAGCTTCAGCAAATTTAGGAAGATTAAACTTACATTAAGTATCTTTTCCAACTGAAATGTTATAAAATGAGAAATCAATAACAGGAAGAATTTGGAAAATTCATAAATGCATGGAAATTAGTGAACATGCTCCTGAACAGTTAAGAATTCAAAAAGAAATTAAAAAGAAAATTAAAAATGTCTGAGAAAAACAAAAATAGAAACACAACATACCAAAACTTATGTGGTACAGCAAAAGTAGTTCAAAGAGGAAAGTTTATAGTTATAAATATCACATGAAAAAGAAGAAATATCTAAAATAAACAACCTAATATTAAACCTTAAACAACTAGAAGAACAAAATAATACAGTCCAAATGTAGCAGAAGAAGGAAAATAATAAAGACCAGAATAGAAGTAAGTAAAATAGGGACTACAGAAACAATGCAAAAGATCAGTATAACAAAAATATCTTTTTAAAAGATAGACAAAATAGACAAGTTTAGCTAGACAAATTAAGACAAAGAAGAAAGACACAAATAAAATAAAAATAAAAAATGAGACATTACAACTAATAACACAGAAATCATAAGAGATTACTATGAACAATTATACACCAACCAATTGAATAAGCTTATGAATAAATTTCCAGAGATGGACAACCTACCAAGACTAAATCATGAAGAATTAGAATATATGAACAGACAAATATCTATAAGAACATTCAATCAGTAATACAACATCTCTCTTCTAAAAAAAAGCCTAAGACCTGATGGTTCCATGGCTTAATTCTACCACAAATTTAACAAATAATTAATATCAATTCTTCTGAAGCTCTTTCCAAAAATCAAGGATGGGTAATAATTCCAAACTCTTTTTACAAGGCTGACATTGCTTTGATACCAAAGTCAAAGAAGAACATTGCAAGAAAAGACAATGCAGACCAATATTCTTGATGAACATAGATGTAAAAATCCTCAATTAAATACTAGCAAATTTAATCAACAACACATTAAAATCAATGCTCAAGGGGGATTTACTCTGGAGATGCAAGGATGGTTCAAGCTACATAAATTGGTAAATGTGATACATCACAGTTTTAAAAAATAAAAGACAAAAACCATATTATTTAATTAGATATATAACAAGTATATGACAAAATTTAACATCCTTTCATAATAAAAACTCTCAACAAATTAGATGTATTAGAAATGCACCTCATCACAATAAAGGCCATATATGAGAACCCCATAGCTGACATTATACTTAAGATGAAAAATTGAAAGCCTGTCCTGTAGTATCTGGAACAAGGCAAGAATGCCCACACTTGCCATTTCTATTCAGCATAAGGCTGGAAGTCCTCATCAGAGCAATTCAGCAAGAAAAAAACAGAAGGCATTCAAATAGGAAAAGAAAAAGTTAACATTTCACTGTTTGGTGATGACATAATTTTATATATTAAAAACCAAAAAAATTCCAGCCAAGCATATTAGCAGTAATAAAGAAATATAGAAAATTTGCAGGATACAAAATCAACATACGATAATCAGCAGCGTTTGTATACACTAACAACAACAACAAAAATATCCAGCAGATAAATCAAGAGAACAATCCTATATACAGTAGCTACAATAAAATACTGAGGAACAAATTTAACTAGTGGAGTGAAAAAAACTGTACAATAAAAACTATATAACACTGTAGAAAGAAATTGAGGAAGACAAATAAATAGATCAATATTCTGTGTTCACCAATCAAAACAACATTCTTTAAATGTTCATAGTATGCAAAGATATCTATAGATTCAATGCTATTCCTATCAAAATTTCAATATCATTTTCACAAATATAGAACAAAACAATCTTGACTTTTATATGGAACTGTTATAAAAACACCAGGGATTCGGTCTAGGTTCTGCTGCTTTTGGCACAGACAGCCAATCATGGAGACAATGAGTATTACCAGGGAAGAAGGCCTTAACTGGGTGCTGCAGCCAAGGAGATGGGATATCAACCTCAAACCCATTTCCTTGATGGACTAAAATTAAGAATTGAAATAGCAGGGAAGAAATGTAACCATGTATGGGAATTAGGGGTAAGAAAGAGGAATTTGTCAATAGGCAGCAGGTGGTCAGTCAGGCAATCATAATGGGTGAGGGATCTGGCATCTCATTGTCCAGATGTGGTGTTCTGGTGGTAAGTTTCAGTACCTTGATACCATCTGGGAGCTCTGAAGGTTGGTTTCCTGAGAAAGTAAGTTAGATAAGACAATTGTAACTTTCTCAAGTTTTAAGACTGAGTGAGTCAATTTCTATGTTTTTCCAAAAGAAATCATAAATATCAGTTCTATGGGATTATCAGGCCAGTTGTAACACCACACACACACACACACACACAGAGAGACACAAACAAACAAAAACAAACAAACAAAAAAACCAGGAATGGCCAAGGCAATCATGAGCAAAAAAAACCCCAAATTGGTGGTCTCACATTCCGATTTCAAACTGTACCACAAAGCTGTGGTTATTAACAGTATGGTAGTGGCAAAAAAATAAATAAATAAAAATAAAAAAATCAGATATATCAACCAATGGAAAAGAATGGGGAGGCATGAAATGAACCAACATATGTATGGTCAATTGATTTTCTACAAAGGTGCAAAGAATACACAATGGCAAAGGATAATCTTATCAATAAACAGTGGTAGGTAAACTGAATATCCACCAACAGAAGATTGAAATGAAACCCTTATCTTACATCATATACACAGATCAACTCAAAATGGATTAAAGTCTGAAATTTAAGACCACAAACTGTACACCTTCAAACAATGAAAATAAAAAAAGGAAAATACTGTCGTGTTTGGTCAGGGTGATGATATGCATTTGACCTCAAAAATGCAGATAACAGGCCGGGCGCGGTGGCTCACGCCTGTAATCCCAGCACTTTGGGACGCCAAGGCGGGCGGATCACGAAGTCAGGAGATCAAGATCATTCTGGCTAACACGGTGAAACCCTGTCTCTACTAAAAATACAAAAAAATTAGCCGGGAGTGGTGGCGGGCGCCTGTAGTCCCAGCTACTCAGGAGGCTGAGGCAGGAGAATGGCTTGAACCTGGGAGGCGGAGCTTGCAGTGAGCCGAGATCGCGCCACTGATCTCCATCCTGGGCTTCAGAGCAAGACTCCGTCTCAAACAAAAAAAAAAAAAAAAAAAAAAAAGCAAATAACAAAAGCAAAAACAGACAAACAGGATTACATCAAACTAAAAAGCTTTTCCACATCAATGAAAACAATTAGCAGTGTGTAGAGAGTCAACCTGCAGATTAGAATAAACTATTTGTTAGCCATACATCCTATAAAGATTTTATATCCAAAATATGTAAGGAACTCAAACAACTCAATAGCAAGATAATAAACGGACTGGGACTTGAATATAAATTTCTCAAAAGAAGACACACAAATTCCCTCTACATTTATGTTTTTTTGGTTATTTTTTTTTTATTATATTTTAAGTTTTAGGGTACATGTGCACAACGTGCAGGTTTGTTACATATGTATACATGTGCCATGTTGGTGTGCTGCACCCATTAACTCGTCATTTAACATTAGGTATATCTCCTACTGCTATCCCTCCCCGCTTCCCCCACCCCACAACAGGCCCCAGTGTGTGATGTTCCCCTTCCTGTGTCCAGGTGTTCTCATTGTTCAATTCCCACCTATGAGTAAGAACATGCGGTGTTTGTTTTTTTGCCCTTGCAATAGTTTGCTGAGAATGATGGTTTCCAGCTTCATCCATGTCCCTACAAAGGACATGAACTCATCATTTTTTATGGCTGCATAGTATTCCATGATGTATATGTGCCACATTTTCTTGATCCAGTCTATCATTGTTGGACATTCGGGTTGGTTCCAAGTCTTTGCTATTGTGAATAGTGCCGCAATAAACATACATGTGCATGTGTCTTTATAGCAGCATGTTTTGTAATCCTTTGAGTATATACCCCGTAATGGGATGGCTGGGTCAAATGGTATTTCTAGTTCTAGATCCCTGAAGAATCGCCACACTGACTTCCACAATGGTTGAACTAGTTTACATTCCCACCAACAGTGTAAAAGTGTTCCTATTTCTCCACATCCTCTCCAGCACCTGTTGTTTCCTGACTTTTTAATGATTGCCATTCTAACTGGGTGAGAGGGTATCTCATTGTGGTTTTGATTTGCATTTCTCTGATGGCCAGTGATGAGCATTTTTTCATGTGTCTTTTGGCTGCATAAATATCTTCTTTTGAGAAGTGTCTGTTCATATCCTTTGCCCACTTGTTGACGGGGTTGTTTGTTTTTGTCTTGTAAATTTGTTTGAGTTCATTGTAGATTCTGGATATTAGCCCTTTGTCAGATGAGTAGGTTGCAAAAATTTTCTCCCATTCTGTAGGTTGCCTGTTCACTCTGATGGTAGTTTCTTTTGCTGTGCAGAAGCTCTTTAGTTTAATTAGATCCCATTTGTCAATTTTGGCTTTTGTTGCCATTGCTTTTGGTGTTTTAGACATGAAGTCCTTGCCCATGCCTATGTCCTGAATGGTATTGCCTAGGTTTTCTTTTAGGGTTTTTATGGTTTTAGGTCTAACATTTAAGTCTTTAATCCTTCTTGAATTAATTTTTGTATAAGGTGTAAGGAAGGGATCCAGTTTCAGCTTTCTACATATGGCTAGCCAGTTTTCCCAGCACCAGTTATTAAATAGGGAATCCTTTCCCCATTTCTTGTTTTTGTCAGGTTTGTCAAACAAACACTCCTATTCAACATAGTGTTGGAAGTTCTGGCCAGGGCAACTAGGCAGGAGAAGGAAATAAAGGGTATTCAATTAGGAAAAAAGGAAGTCAAATTGTCCCTGTTTGAAGATGACATGATTGTATATCTAGAAAACCCCATCGTCTCAGCCCAAAATCTCCTTAAGCTGATAGGCAACTTCAGCAAAGTCTCAGGATACAAAATCAATGTGCAAAAATCACAAGCATTCTTATACACCAATAACAGACAAACAGAGAGCCAAATCATGAGTGAACTCCCATTCACAACTGCTTCAAAGAGAATAAAATACCTAGTAATCCACCTTACAAGCGACGTGAAGGACCTCTTCAAGGAGAACTACAAACCACTGCTCAATGAAATAAAAGAGGATACAAACAAATGGAAGAATATTCCATGCTCATGGGTAGGAAGCATCAATATCGTGAAAATGGCCATACTGCCCAAGGTAATTTATAGATCCAATGCCATCCCCATCAAGCTACCAATGGCTTTCTTCACAGAATTGGAAAAAACTACTTTAAAGTTCATATGGAACCAAAAAAGAGCCTGCATTGCCAAGTCAATCCTAAGTGAAAAGAACAAAGATGGAGGCATCACACTACCTGACTTCAAACTATACTACAAGTCTACAGTAACCAAAACAGCACGGTACTGGTACCAAAACAGAGATCTAGACCAATGAAACAGAACAGAGCCCTCAGAAATAATGCCACATATGTACAACTATCTGATCTTTGACAAACCTTCTACATTTATGAAAAAATGTTCAACATTCCTAATCACTAGAGAAATAGAAATTAAACCACAGTAATATATCATTTCACACCTATCACATTGGCTGTTATAAAAAAAGTCCAGAGATAACAAGTGTTGGCAAAGATATGGAGGAAAGGAAATCCTTGTGTACTATTGGTGGGAATGTAAATTAATACAGCCATTATGGAAAATTGTATGGAGGGTCTTCAAAAAATTAAAAATAAAATTATCATATAATCCCTGAATCCTAATTCTAGTATTTACCTAATTCTAGCATTCTAGTATTTACCCTAATTCTGTTTTGGAGAATGTAAATTACTACAGCCATTATGGAAAACTATATTGAAGTTCCTCAAAAAATTAAAAATAAAATTGCCATATAATCCCTGAATCTTAATATTAGCATTTACCCCAAAGACTTGAAATCAGTCTGTGGAAAAAATGTCTCACTCTGATATTAATTGCAGCACTAGTCACAATAGCCAAGTCATGAAAGCAGCATGTGTTCACTAACAGATGAATTGATAAATAAATATTTTATATATACACAATGGAATACTATTCAGTCTTAACAAAAAAGGAAATCCTGTCATTTATGACAACATGGATAGAATTAGAGAACATTATGCTGAGTAAAACAAGCCAGGAACAGACAGACAAAGTTTTCACTTATTTGTGGAATCTAAAAAAAAAAAAAAATTGAACTCATAGAAGCAGAGAATTAAATGGCATTAGTGGGTGGGGAGTTGGAGAGATGATGATCAAAAGGTCCAAACTCTGTGAGGAGAAACATTTTATTTTTTAGCTCTATTGCTTAGCATGAAGAATGTAGTTAATAATGGAGTATTGTACATTTCAAATTTGCTAATGTACAAATTACAAAAAATGTTAAGTATTTGAAGTGATGTATATATTAACTAATTTGACATAAGTATTCCATGTAGTATTAATAAATTATAACATCTCTTGTACCTCATAAATTTATACAATAATAAATTGTATATTAATAATAAAAAGTATAAAAATGCACATATAATGACTTCTTTTCCTCACTTCTAGATACCCACTAGTGAGACTGCTGGATTAAATGGTAGTTCTACTTTCTGAAATCATTATATGAAAATGTTACTTGTACATGCATGTTTATAGCAGCACAATGTGCAATTGTGAAAATATGGAACCAGCCCAAATGCCCATCAATCAATGATTGGATAAAGAAATTGTGAGATAGATAGATAGATACACACACACGTATCATGGAATAATACTCAACAATAAAAATAAAAATAAAGAAATAATGGCATTTGCAGCAACCTGGGTGGAATTAGAGACTGTTATTCTAAGTGAAGTAACTTACAAATGGAAAACCAAACATCATATGTTCTCACTCATAAGTCATAAGTGGGAGTTAAGCTATGAGGATGCAAAGACATAAGAATTATACAATGCACTTTAGGGACTCAGGGCAAAGAGTGGGAGGGGGGTGAGGGATGAAAGACTACAAATTGGGTATAGTGAATATTGCTCAAATGATAGGTGCACCAAAACCTCAAAAATCACCACTATAGAACTTATTCATGTAACCAAACACCACCCATTCTCCAAAAACCTATGAAAATAAAACACAAAAATTAAAAAAGAATTGGAAACTAAAAGAAATGCACATATAAATATGTATATATAAACATACATACATATACATATAAGAATGTATACATACAAGAATACATATATATAACTTTATTTTATCCTGTTGTGTACTCCTAGGTTCCTTATTTTACCTCAAAGCATGAATATACTGAAATATAACAGAAAAAAATAAATCATGTAATGTAAGCTCTCATATTTGTTGTCTATTATTATTACTTAGAAATTTATTCACGTGTATAATTATTTAAAAAGTAGTAAGGAATGCACACTTCTTTTAGTATCCAAACAATATAAAGTGTATCCTGTTGAATAAAAAGAAAGTTTATTCATTGGGTACTTACGTTTTCACTTCTCTTCACATCTCAAATATTACCACTTGCTTTTAGATTTATAAAAGCCTATTGTATAACCATTGTTTCTTTTTTAAACATATAAAATATATTTTATGTAAATTTCTGCTTCAAAATAATAAATTTTTTACTTTAAATAAAATTGCACAATTTTAATCATGCATAAATAAACCCATATATACATCTGTGAATATATTATAAGAAATATTGCTAGAAGTAGAATTGTTGGATGAAAAAAATAAGCATTTTTTTTGTGAGAATTTTCTAATTCTTCTTCTAAAAAGTTGTACTTGCAAAGGACATGCTCTCATTTCTTTTCATTGCTGCATAGTATTCCATGGTGTATATGTGCCATTTTCTTTATCCAGTCTATCACTGATGGGCATTTGGGTTGGTTCCATGTCTTTGCTACAAACTAACACAGGAACAGAAAACCAAATACTGCATGTTCTGACTCATAAGTGGGAGTTGAACATTGAGAACACATGGATACAGAGAGGGGAACAACTCATACCAGGGCCTCTTGTGGGGTGGGGCGCGAGTGGAGGAAACTTAGAGGACAAGTCAATAGGTGCAGCACACCACCATGGCACATGTATACCTATGTAACAAACCTGCACGTTCTGCGCCTGTGTCTTATTTATTTTTAAAAAGAAATAAAGAAAAAAAATTCTGTTGCAAGTAAAAAAAAAGTTGTACTGATTTCCATTCCTACTACATACTGAAAATATTCATTTTTTCACATGTTCACTAAAACCAGATATTTAAAAACTCTGAACCCATCAATCTGATGAGTTAAAAATATTTATTTTAAATTATATTTCTTGATAGATACTAAAGTTGCCTTTTCGTATTTATTTATTTTTAACTGACAAATAATATTTTGATACATATGTATATGGGGTACAATGTGATGTTTATATCTGTGTATACATTGTAGAAAGATACCTTGCCAACTTATTTATTTGGAGAGAGTGTCTCTCTCTGCCACCCAATTTGGATTGCAGTGGTGTGACTTTGGCTCACTGCAACCTCTGCCTCTCCTGTTCCAGTGATTCTCGTGCCTCAGCCTCCCGAGTAGCTGTGGTTACAGGCACATGCCACCACGCCTGGTTAATTTTTGTATTTTTAATAGAGACAAGGTTTCATCATGTTGGCCAGGCTGGTCTTCAACTGCTGGACTCAAGCAACCTGCCCACCTTGGTCTCCCAAAGCCCTGGGATTACAAGTATGAGGCACTGTGCCTGACCAATTTACCATATTTTTTTGTGATGAGAATATTAAAAATCTTTTCTAACTGAAACTTCATACTCTTGATTAACATCTCTCCTTTCCTCATCCCTCCTCCTCTCCCAAGCCTCTGGTAGGATCATATTTATATGTGAAATCTAAAAAAGTCGATTTCACTGAAGTTGTCTTTTTATGTGTTTATATGTTTGATTTGCTGCTAAATTAGTAGTTATCCTTGGACAGGTCACATACTGTATGTATGACTTTATTTCCTCATTGATATTAATAGAGGTAATGTGAATTTTAATTCACAGCATTATGATTATAAATCAGTAAGACAAACACAGCAGGGTCATAGGAGATTCTCTTGAGTTCTGGGTAACAATGATTCTTGTTTAGCCAAAGTTGGCAGAGGTTGAACTCCTGACTCTGGGTGGCAAAGATGAAATTCTCTGCCTGGCAAACAGAAGCAAAGGTGGCTAAAAAATGCAGATAACAATTAAAACACATGACAATAGCATAGCTATGAGATGCTAAGTGTTTAAAGCAAGGCGGTGACAATGAAAAATGAGAGAAGAGGGGATCATCCCTCTTATCGCTGTTGGAATGATTGACAAGGCTAGAATAATTTTTCATCTTTAGAGAAATATAACAAGGAAGTAAAAATATAGAACAATGATAGATATCAAATTCTCTACAAAGTCGATATAAAAAGAATGCCTATATTTAGTGGTCCTGCTTGGATTTTCTTTACAATATTACTTTAAAAATAATTTCAAATATTGTATCCTCATTAGCCATACCCTCCATAAAATTATGACATAATAGGATATCAAATATATGTGATAACCTTACAATATGAGCAGAGTAGATTGGGACTCGGTTTTGCTTTAAACTATACAATTATTATTTCTCTGATTTTTAGCTCTTGGAAATAATAAGTGTTTGTGATGCTAAAAAATTAGAATTTAGTAGAGCTTGCTTAATAGAACTGAATTAAAAAATATAATGGTGTTAATTTCTCTTAAGAAAATGTGTACTAGGAAAAAGTTGTTAGGCCAGTTTTTTCTTTTCTGCTATTAAGTACTAAAACAAAAGATCTAATTATTCAGTTAGATTGAGAAGAGTGAACAGCTCTAATGTTTCGAAAACTAAATATTCAAGAAAACAATAGCAAATGTTTCTTTCTGAAGAGTAATGGGTTAGTTAAAAAAGAATGCAAGTGTATTCTTCTTAGAGTGGTTGATAAACCCCTGAGCTGTAATTTGGTTGCCAAAAATCTAAATAAACTTCATTACTACATAATAAAGCAACTCATATTTAAAATTGGTCAGTTTACTGATTTTAGTGACAAGGGATTTGAATGCATTTTCTTTGTTTGTTGTTAATTTCTTGCTTTCTGAAACCAATCTGTTACTCACAGTGCAGTATTAAACATGCAGATATTAGTATAATCAGACATAAAATGAAGTGTGGACTCCTGAGATGTTTATGATAAATTTCAAAAGCTGCTCTTCTATCATCTTTTTCAAGTACAGAAGATAAAAGTGTGAGCTCTTTTGAAACTTTTGTGATTTGTATGGCAGGACATTTTCTATCAAAAGTAATAAATTTTAATTCACTCAGTTAAATCTGAGTCTAAAATTCATTGGTTCAATAAATTCATATTTTTCACTTTTGTATTTTAAAATGATCAAAATAAAGTCATACATTATCTCAAAGAAGCATTACTCTTTGTACTCATATTTTTTCCTCTTTGTAAAATACAATATCCTCTCACCAAAATAATTTTAATTTTTTAGCCCTAGGAAAGACAAAGGCCTTTTCTGAGCTCAAATTAGATGACACTTGTCCATGCACTAATTTTTTTACACCATGTTTATATAATCTATCATACTTTGTTATTTATTATTATTATTTGCATAGAAATTTATTGTTCGATTTTAGATAGTATGCCTTTTAACAAAAGAAAGTGTGACAGAGCATTGTTAAGTAGGACGAACACAGAGTAGCGTTTTACATTTGTGAGCATATTCTAAGAAGTCAATATGCCAGTTTTCATTCTTTGTTCTGTTCAAATTAACATAAAAATTCACAATCAGTATCTTTAAAAGCATTAAGACAAAAATTTTAGCTAAAAATTCCACATTAAAGCACTTTGTTGAGGAAATCATAACACTTAAAGAGATAGTGTACAAAATGCCAAATTGTGAAATTTTCTGGATCTCAATCATATGTTAATAAAAGAAATGTTTTCTTTATTTTAAAATGCTAAGGTATTTTCCTTCTTCAACACTTGGACTTTTTATGTGTATTATTTTGTTTTACATTTCAAGCACACTTTTTTCTTTCCCTATTTTAGAAACTATGTTATGTTTTGTGAAAAATAACTGCTGTGTTATCTCCTGTGGAATCTACTAGCGTCTAATTCATAGTAGAAATTCAATAAATGGTTGGTTATACATTGATTTAGTAAGAAGTCAGCAGTATTTCTAAGAGAAAGAGTCCCGAATCAAAAAAACAAAAGACTTATGCTATTAATGGCACTAAAATAAACTATGAAACTGAGATTTGCTGCATATTCCTAATCAGCTTTTTCATTTTACAAGTATTTTTAAAATTGAAAGTCTAAAACACCAAGTGTTTCAGAAACCGATGGGGTAATGTGGGCAAATCACACAGCTATAAATTGTTAATAAAATTTTGTGATTTTAATGTCAATATTTTTATTTCAAATTTGCTGAAAACAATTAGATAAATTACACTTTCCTAGAATAATTACTGAAGCGAAATACAGTTGTCACTTAATATCTGTGGGAGACTGGGTCCAGGAATCCCCAAGGATACCAACATTCATGGATGTTCAAGTCCCTTATATTAAATGGCTTTGCATTTGCACATAACCTCCACACATGCTTCCATATACTTTACATCCTCTCTAGATTACTTATCACATCTAATACAATCTAAATGCTATTTAAATAGTTGTTAGACTGTATTGTTTAGGAAGAAATAACAAAACGAGTCTGCACCATCCTTTTTAATTTTCTGAATATTTTTGATCCACAGTTGGTTGAATCCACAGGGGAAGAATCCATGTATATAGAGGGCTGACTGTATAACAAATCATTTCATTAATGAATGTTACAGATTATTCACCAAAATACTTTTTGAAAGTGAGGAAAACCTAGGCATATTATTCTGACAACGTTTTAAAAATAAATGTGTATATGTAAACTTTTCATGACACACATATTACATATTTGTGTTTTATAGCTAATTTTGTTTTATATTTAACTGCATCATCCTTTTTTACATAAAATAATAATTCAAAGTAATGTTTGTAATATTTAAGTAAATGTAATTAAATAAATTAGTTAAGTAATTAATTGCAGATATAATACATCTAGAGCTAATGATTATTTTAGTTTACTTATGACCCTAAAGAGTAACAGTTTAATTTCTTTGGAGGATTTTAATATGCATACTTTTTACAGTACGATTTTACTACTTTACATTAGAATGAAGATCATTGCTATGCATACAAGTTTGCACTTTCCTAGAAAGCTTACAAATTCGTTAATTGCATTGTTTTTTATTTTTATTAAACACATTTTATAATCCATATTTGAAAATGAGTTAAGAATATGATCACATACAATTAATAGCAACTGAAAACTGAACATTCACCTGTCTTTATAAATTGTTTATTAATCTCTGTGTTAAAAATATTTTCTAATATTTTGAAGGATTTCTCTATTTAAAAAAACTGATGGGGAGACATGTTGCACAGGGCTTATAGGCACCCCTTCAGGAGCCAGATTTTGGAGTCAGATAGGCCTTGTCTCCACCATTCCCTGTATATGAGTCCTTAGACAAATCACACAAGCTTTGTAAGTTTTCAGATTTCTCATGTGTGATTGGAATAATTTTATCTACTCCAGCATAATATCAGAATAAAAATAGTAATTTTTTTTTTAATATGGAGTTTCGCTCTTGTCGCTCAGGCTGGAGTACAGTGGCTCAATCTGGGCTCACTGCAACCACCACCTTCCAGGTTCAATCAATTCTCCTGCCTTAGCCTCCTGAGTAGCTGGGATTACAGGCACCTGCCACCACACCCGGCTAATTTTTGTATTTTTAGTAGAGACGGGGTTTCGTCATGTTGGCCAGGCTGATTTCGAACTCCTGACTTCAGGTGATCCACCCGCCTCGGCCTCCCAAAGTATTGGGATTACATGCATGAGTCACCCTGATAGTAATTTTAACTATAAGCATGGCAATTGCTTGTAGCTCTATGTAATATGTGATCAGAATTCAACATAAATACCTATGATGGTGATATTGATGATGGTAATAGTGATGGTAAAGATGATTATGATACCATTTGAAGAAAGCAAAATGGCATTGTATATATATTAATTTATAAATGATGTAATGTTTTCGTTTAAGTTTCTTTTTTTTTGAAGAGCAGTTTTAGGTTCACAGCAAAAATAAGAGGATGGTATGGAGACCTTCCAAATATCCCATTGCTCTCCACCATATGCATAGTAGCCTTCCTCTTTACCAGTATTCTCCATATGAGTGGTAATTTGCTACAATTAATGAACCTACATTGACACATCATAATCACCAAAGTTTATCGTTTACATAAGGTTTCCCTCTTGGTTGTGTATATTTTATCGGTTTGGATAAATACATAACGACATATATCCATCATTATATACTATACAGAGTATTTTCACCTCCCTAAAAATGCTCTGACATAATATTTTAATTAATTTATTTATTTTAAAATAAGCTTTGTTTTGTATATTTAAGATATACAAACTTATGTTTTGAGATTTGTATTTGTAGCAAAATTACTATAGTGAAACACATTAATGTAGCCATCAGCTCACAGTTACACCTGATATATTTTTACTTATAGAATTTTTTTAAATACAAAATTTGTTGAGCATTACTAATCAAAATCTTTGAATGAGAACTATAATTGTGTTACTATAGATTTGTTAAAATTATAATCTTATATAAAAATTAATTTGGAACACTTTTCACTAAGGCAAAAACTCTCTGAAAAACAGTAGCTACAAGATGTTCTGTTCTTATTTAGTTCTCATTTCATCCCTTCAGAAATTATGTAACTGTTTCTATCCTTTGTGTGGGTGACCCATGTTATATTTTTCTAAGAAAATCTCCAAAGGCATGCATAGAGTTTTTGGCCAGTTTTTGGTACCCTTTCAGCAATTTCAAAATTTTCGATTTATGTACATGATTTTAATAGTCATTTTCAGATATGTTTTGTTAATTTTCTTTATTTGCTGAAATGGCATTATAAGTGAACAATCTTTAAGTTTTATCTCTTTTTCTTTAAACACTGTTTTCTGGCAGATTGTCTGTGTAGTTTTCTTATACAGGCAATTGATGTGATATTTTTAACTTTTAAATTTTACTAGATCTTATCTGAGGTAAAAAATGAAACCTACTTGAACTAGAAAGAGGAATGCCTTATCAATGTATTTCCTACATAAAACTTCTAGAAAATCTGCCTCCTTAAAATATCACAAAATTATTATATATTCTCATGCTGATTGTGACAATAAGAACTATTTTTTGTTCCTACTAAATTTCAGAGCTGTGTTAGTCAGTTGATTATATTTCTACAGTAGGTCATCTGTATCCGTGTGTTCTGCATCTGCAGATTCAATCAATCATGATTCAAACATATTTAGAAAAAAATAAAGGATAGTTGCATCTCTATTAAACATGTACAGACATTTTTTGTCATTATTTCTTAATACAGTATAACAATGATTTACACAATACTTACATTGTAATAGATATTATAAATAAGCTATAGATGACTTAAAATATACAGAAGGATGTGAGTAGGTTTTTACAAATACTATGCCATTTTGTATAAGGGACTGGAGCATCCATGGATTTGGGTATTCTCAGGTGACTCTAGAAACCAATTCCCCACGAATACCATTTCAACAATTCTTCTAAAAAGATAAAACTATCCCTTTTTCAACAATAACAACAAAATTTTTTACCACTCTGAACAACTGACTTCATGATGTAAATTATAAAATGTATTTTAAAATTTGTAAACTGAAATAATAAAAAGAGATAATGCTAGAGCAGATTAAATAAAACCCTGAAAATAAGGCTATTTATGTGTTGTTTACATCAAATCCACTTAAGTATAAAAGTCCAGATAAGTTCAAAGTAAAGGAGTAGAGAAAAACATGCCATGCTAACACTAATTAATAAAAGAGGGCTGAAACATATATATTAATTTTAGACAAAACGGTATTTAGAATATGAAAAATTGTAAGAGATAAATTCATTGTATAATGAATAGAGGTCAACTCTGATGTCTCAGAAAAACTCTCAAACAATGTTTTTTCTCTACTCTCACACCACCCAAACAATCATCAACAGAGAAGAAGACTCTTGTCTTCCCACACACGGAGCAGCGCACACCAGCTGAATGTCCTCCAATTCAATGCCAACACTACTTACTGGGAGATAGTGACATATCCCACAGGTTGAAGTGCTCAGTACCCAAGACTACACCCAACAACCCAGACACCAGTCACAAGTCTGAGCCTCCAGAACTTCTGACCAACCAGCTTCGAGTTGGGGTTCCCAAGGCCACCTGTTTGGGTTTGATTAATTAGCTGGCTCACAGAACTCAGGGAAACACTTACTTACTTTCACCAGTTTATTATAGAGGATATTACAAAGGATACGGGTGAGGTATAGGGGATAAGACATGAAGCTTCTATGCCCTCCTTGGGTGCGCCATTCTCCAGGGACCTTCATTTGTTCAGCTATCTGCAAGTTTTCTGAACTCAGTCCTCTTGGGTTTTCATGGAAGCTTCTCAATATCTGTATTTCTTCCCCCAGGGTATAGAGTGGGGCTGTCTCTGGGAAGGACATTAATACCTACAGTGAGAAAGCTGGAGGAAGATTAGAATCCTACCTTAGGGCAGGTGAAAGGAAGTCAGGAGAAAGTAAGAGAGATTCTATTTCCTGAGGCCCGTCCCTGAGGACTAACACACCCAACATTAATACAAAAGACTGTAACAAAGGCTGTGCAAGTTATAAACCAAAACCTGTGGACAAAAATGAAAACAAAGAGTTATTATATTAAATGCATATACTTAAAGAAATAAAGATAATAGAACAATAACAAAAGATTATATTTCAGTAAACTGGAGAAAGAAGAATAATTTAAGTCTGAGGCAAGCAAAATAAAATAATAAAAATTGGAGCATAAATCGATAAAGTTGAAAACAGAAAGCAATAAAGAAAATTAGTAAAATTAAAAGCTAATATTTAAAAAGACTAATAAAATTGATAAACTTCTAGCTATGCTAACAAAAGGAGGGAGAGTGAAAAAAAAAGGAGCAAGAAAGAAAAAAGAGAGAGAGAGAGAAAGACATAAATTACCATAATCAGAAATAAAACAGCCCTTATCACTATTGCCATGGACATTAAAGGGATAATAAGCAAATATTACAAGTTACTCCATGCCCCAAAACTTGATAACCTACATGAAACACACCAATTTTTCTGAAAGCCTGCAAATTACCAAACTCACTCAGGGAGAAAAATATAATTAAATATCTTCGTATCTACTCAAAATATAAGTAACAATTAAAACTATTCAAAGAAAGAAAACTTATGACTAAATGATTTTGTGGGTGAATTCTACCACACATTTAAGGAGAAAATACACACACACACACACACACACACACACACACTTCCCACTTCAGTTTATAAGCCAGCATTAACTACAACACAAAATCAGAAAAAGTCATTACAAAAAAAAAAAAAAATCAGACCAATATTCCTCATAAACAAACAAATTCTCAGGAAAATATTAGAAGAACAAATGTAGTGATATACAAAATGGGTAGTACATCATATCCAAGGAATGTTAATCCCAGTAATACAAGACTGGTTCAACATTTATAAAACAATCAAAGCCATTCATCATATCAACAGACTGAATAAGAAAAAAGATTATATCAATAGATGCCGCAAAATCTCCCAACAATATTTATTGCATATTCTTGATAGACAATTTCTCAAAAACTAGGAGTAAAAGGGAACTACTTATTATAAAAAATAATATATTAAAAACCTACAGACAACAAAAATTGTACATAATGATGAAAGCCTAAACTCTTTACCTTAATATCAGGAAAAAGGTAAGGATGTACTCTCTTGTTATTCCTATTCAACATTATACTGGAATATATAGCTAGTACAGTAGGAA
Organism: Homo sapiens; assembly: GCF_000001405.40. Classification (NCBI taxonomy): domain Eukaryota; kingdom Metazoa; phylum Chordata; class Mammalia; order Primates; family Hominidae; genus Homo; species Homo sapiens. The sequence continues at coordinate 131,155,848 of NC_000004.12, forward strand.
AAGTAAAATGATATAAAAATATAAAATATATAAATTGTAAATAAATAAATAAAGCTCTATTCATCAATGGCATGGTTTTCTATGTTGAAAAGCTCAAAGAACTTAGATGAGAAAAAAAAAACCTGGCTCTAATGAGAGAGTCTTTAGAAGGTCACAGGATAGAATTCAATATACAAAAAGTCAATTGCTTTCCATTTCCAACAATAAGCAGAATTTTAAACTGCAAAGCAATAACATATACAATGGCAACCAAAAGTGAAGCTTAGGTATGAATCTAACAAAATGTTTATGGAATCCGTATGTCACAAACTGTAAAATGTTAATGAAAGACTCCAAATATCTAATGAAATGGAAAGGTTTTTGTGGTCATAGATTAGAAGAACCAATATTGTTAAAATGTCAGTTTGATTTATAGACTCAACACAAACCCAACTGCAATAAAAAAGCTATTTTTATATATTAGCAAATTGATTTGAAAATTTATATGAAAAGGTAAGTGACTTGGAATAAGACACAGAATATTAATAAAAAACAAAGTTAGAATACTTACACCACAAAAATTTCAAGACTTACAATGAATCTACAGTAACAAAGACAGTGTGGTATTGGAGAAAGTATAGATCTATATATTAATGGAACAAAACATGGATCCCTGAAATAAACCCACACAAGCATAGTCAACTAATCTTTGACAAAGAAACAAAGGTAGTTCAGTGAAAAAAGAATAGTGTTTCCAACAACAAATGACTCTCAAAAATGACTCGCACAAAAATTAATTCAAAGTGGAATCTACATGTAAAACACAAAACTATCAAACTACCAAAAGAAACACAGAACACCTACATAACCTTAGGTTTGGTGATGAGTTTTTAGTTACCACATCACAGGCAAAATCCATAAAGTAAGTATTTATATGTTGTTATTGATATCTATGAAAAATATTTGAAAATAATGCAATTAAAAACACCTTACAAGAGAAAAAGATATATTATGAAATCACACCTGCTAAGCATTAATCCACTCTGAAATTGCCAGATTCAAATACAAATATACTTCTGAAAAGAAACAGAAAGTGCCAAAACAAAGTTTTTTTATATAGGTTTGTAACATTTAGATTACAATGGAAAAAGAATACATCAATTTCCTATCCATAAATTAGACCCCATCATATGTTATGAACAAAAAATTTACTCCAGGAGAACTAAAAAGTCAATAATTATTCTACAGAAAAATATATGTGAAGTTTTCCAACCTAAGAAGATTAGGGAAAACCTTCTTAAGCAAATAAAAACAGGAAATATTAAAGCCATGGAAACTATTAAAGTTTTTAATAAAAAATTAAAGAACAATTGATAACCTTTGGGAAACTTTTGAAAAGTATACAATAGAGAAAAGACTAACAATTCAAACTATGTATAGAACTCCTAGCAAATAGAGACAATCAAATTAATGAGAACTTGGCAAAAGATATGTGACTATTTCAATAAAAATAAATAGAAATGGCTACAAAATGTATTAAAAGTAGAATTATCTTACTAGAATTCAAGGACATACCCACTAAACCAGTGAATTTTAACTATTTTTTTCTGAAAGATTTACAACATTTAAAAAATAAAATAGTATTGGCAAGGTTGCAAAGACATACATCCTCTCAAAAACAGTAAAAATATAAATTATCATGACCTTCTGGATGGCCACTTGACAAGATCTATGCAATTTAAAAAATATTTTGTTATTTTAGAACTTTTATACTTGCAGAAAGGTTTTGAAACTAATACAGTGAATTTATATATATTCCTCATTCAGAGTCCCCTATTGCTAACAAATTGCATTAGTATTGTAGGCTTTTCACAAATAATAACAAGTCCATACCTGTTTACAATCTATAAGGTTTTTCCTAATGTCCCTTTTTGTTTCCTGGATCCCATTCATGATACCACAATACATTTATTCATAACGTTTCTTTAGGTTTCTCTAGACTGTAACAGTTACTCTAGTTTTACTTATTTTTTATGTCCCTGATCCATGTGAGAAATATTTGTTAAGTATTTTTTAGAATATACCTCAGTTGGGTTTGTCTGATGTATTTTGTGATTATACTGGGGATATGGGTTTTTAGGCAGAGGAGTCGAGAGGTAAAGTGCCAATCTCATCACATCACCTCAAGGATATATGTTACTGACCTGACTTGTGATGTTGACTTTGATGGCCTGGCTGAAATAATTTTGTCAGGTTTCTCCACTGTAGAATTGATCCTTTGTTTTTTTTCTATACTGGACTTTTTAGAAAGAAGTCCCTACACACACACAGCCCATGCTGAAGAGAGAGTGTTGTTCCTCTTTTTTGAGAGGGATGTATCTACAGAAATTAGGTGGATTTTTTCTGTATGGACAGTTTGTCTACTTATTTATTCAGGCATTTACTAATATCAGTACAGACTTTGGGTTATAATCCAATACTATGTTTTTATATCATTTCTCAAATTCATCTAAGAATGGAGAATGTTTTCATTTGGTTCCTGTGTTCTTTTGACATATCTTCATCATTGTGGGTTTTGATTAAGTATTTCTTTACTTTCTGGCTCATCTTAACTATTCCCTTTTTTAGTCTAGAATCAGTCATTTCTCCAAGAAATTCTAGTTCCTATTATTGGAAAATGATATTAGATAACAAAACCTGAGTTCAAACGTTAGTTGCTACTGAGGTGTCCTTGTTTCTAGACCCTCTCAACTGAAAGAGCAAGGAAAACATGTATGTATGTATGTATGTATGTGTGTATATATATATACACACACATATATATATTATATATATACGTATATATACTATCCCATCTACCTATATATATACACATATATATACTATATATACACTATCATATATAAGTATAGATATACGATCCCATCTACTTCTATATATAGAGACATATATATATACACTTTCCCATCTACTTCACATATATATATACACACTATATACATATATATACACACTATATACATATATATATATATATATTATGTGATTTGAATGGGGACACAGCCAAACCATATCACTGATCTTGTAATATTTAAATGCTTACAAAGAATATTTTATTTAAAATCCACTTAAAATTTTTTATTAGTAAACTATAAAGATATTGAGAATAATAGTGGAATATTTGTTTGAATGTCTTCAACTGTTTTAATACGCTAATTTAGAATATGTTGTGGAAAGTCATATTTACATGTGCCATTCTAGTATAAATTCCAAACCTCTTTATCACATTATAATTAAATTACATCTATCAAAATTGAAGAAACAAGAAGTTATCTGAAATCTTTATCCACAATGTCTTACCAGGCAAGAACTAGTGAACTTATTGTGAGAGAAAAGAGTTGGGGCAGATTTGGAGAATCCCTAGATGTTAATCTACAGATTTTTTTTTAATTAACTCTTAAAATAAAATTTGAGATTTTGTTTGAAATCTAAAGAAAATGGTAAGTATTAGGATGAAGCTGCCTGTAGCCTTTTATAGCTTTTTATCCTTTATGACTGCTCTGTTTCCTGCAGTGTATCTGTGAAGCACAGAACAAGTACATAGCAGATGATTACACTAAGGCACCAAAGTCACTGGAGTGTGAGATAATCTTCAGCGCTGAGAATTAGTGTCTCATGCAACCAAGCAAAGAACCAAAAAGGAGCTGTTTCTTCAGTAGAGTTTAACATCTAAGATACACCTGAAGCCATAGCTCTTTATAACTGCTGAAATCCATACCTTTGACCATTTGGTTATGTATTAGTAAAGGTTATCTTTTTCTCTCTCTCACTGATGCTTGCTCAGTTAGTAAAATGTAATTCTCAATATATGTGCACAACACTTAAATAGTGTAACTTTACATATTTGCAATTTCATGCAAAGATTAAGCAAACAAGATGGCTCTTTATTAAACCTTTGAAATACATAGGCTGAAATCTAATTGGGCTTAGATATTTTCACATTTGCAGACAAGATGTGTTTAAGGAAATAAGTGTCCAACATATAGAGAAGCACCATAGGATATAGAAGAAGCTTATAATGGAACAAGTAAGGATATATTTACAGGGGATTTATATTTTCATTTGAAGGTTATGTTGAATAGGATAATTTACTTAGGATCAAAAGTTGTATGGCATGTGGGTTCTTGGTATGAAAAGTAATTTTCATTTTAATGTCCAATAGTATATTTTACTCAGGCTAGTTTAAAGTGAAAGGATGTCTTGATGCTACTTATGGAATATTGCAAATTTTAATTTGTACATTCACTTTTCTATGTTAACTAAACCACAACAAACACAACCAATGGATCCTGCATTGCTATTTTGTAACCTTATTGGTTATTACATTTTAGGTCGGTGAAGTCATGTAACTTTACCACTATTATGTCTAAGCCAATGGTAGTAAATATGCTTGCAACCTATAATTAATATACCAATCATAAATTACACATTTATGTTTATGAAAGTTTACCTCATCCAAATACCCTCTGTGCTTGCTTTGAAAGAATTCACCTCTATGTTTGTATAGACATATAGACAGAGACACTGAATATTTTACAGCTAAACATTATATAAATCATTATGATGAAAAACATCAAATTTTTCTCAATAAACAACTATATGTATATACTTTGTATCTATAAACTTTAAGTCATCTCTACTTAGCATTTATTTGGGAAAAACATCATAGAGCAATCTTTCCAATAATATATTTTCAAAAAGTAAGTTAAAAATGAAATTGAGATGTCATTTAGAAATTGGGCTGAGTGCAATCACCCCTGTAATCTCAGTATTTTGAGAGGTTGAAGCAGAAAGATTGCTTCAGCCCAGGAGTTCAAAACTATCCTGGAAAACATAAGGAGGCTCTCATCACTAAAAAAATAAATAAATAAATAAATAAATAAGAATAAATTAAATTGATTGGGTGTGATCATGTGTACCTGTGGTCTTGGTAAGAGGATCGCTTTAGCCTGAGAGGTCAAGGCTGCAGTTAGCTGCGATCACGCCACCACACTCCACCCTGAGTGACAAAGTGAGATCGTGCCTTAAAAAAAAAAAAAAGGAAAAAAGATTAACAGATTAATTTTAAAAAGCAATAAGCTAAAAAATCATATTTGAGAATTAATAGGCTGAGAGGTTTGAAGGTAAGGTGCTATACAGCACATCTACTCATGATCACACAATTCAAATTCACAAATACTGAATGCATTCAATTTATTACAATGAAATTGAAACCTGTTTTTATCCCCCATAATTCAAAATGTACATCATTATAAATCTAACAATGAGGCAATTTATCTCTTTTTTCTACTAATTATAAAAAAATAAATTTCTCTTCAGAACTTCCAGTATGTTCATCTTGCTAGGGTATGCTAAGATCATACTCTAGGCAGGTTATTTAGAAATACACTGACTTTATTTTTTCTAGTTTCCTGCTGTCTTTGCAAATATGCCTCTGACTTATAATGTCTGTGTGGCATTTTCACAACATGAGTTTTCATTGTACATAGTTTCAGGCATTAAAGCATCAAGCCAAGAATTATTAGAGATGTTAGGAAGCATTAAAACACCTGCCATTTCAAACTGTCTTTGGATAATACAAACTGAATCTGCTTTGTGTTTATAACTGACCCATTAATTATGTACTAGAAATTCCAAGCAAAATCCCTGCTGTTTTCAGAATTGAGAACTCAATGCTTATTGGTCTTGCAAGAACTGCCAAGTGATAATAAAAAATGATTTAAAGAGATATGAAAACAAATTATTCATGCTGTTTGAAGCTCTATTTCAGAATTGATGAGTAATGTATTATGTAACGACAGAAAATATTTTACCTCTAACTATGCTGATTATCAGATAAAATATCTGTTTTTATTACATCTTGATTTAGATTTTCTCTAGTACCTAAACTATTGACATGCTAGAGATTTTTTTTGTAAATAACATTGTCATATTTTGTATTGGGGAACCTGCCCCGATATTCACGTAGTTTCTTTTCTATTTTCCTTAAGCGTTGGCCAGCTTGAGAAATAAAGGGACAGAGTACAAAAGAGAGAAATTTTAAAGCTGGGCGTCCGGGGGAGATATCATATGTCGGTATGTTCCGTGATGCCCCACAAGCCGCAAAAACCAGCAAGTTTTTATTAGGGAGTTTCAAAAGGGGAGGGAGTGTGCGAATAGGTGTGGGTCACAGACATCAAGTACTTTACAAGGTAATAGAATATTACAAGGCAAATGGAGGCAGGGCAAGATCACAGGACCACAGGACCCAGGCAAAATTAAAATTGCTAATGAATTTTCGGGCACCATTGTCATTGATAACATCTTATCAGGAGACAGGGTTTTTGAGATCAACTGGTCTGACCAAAATTTGTTAGGCGGGAATTTCCCCTTCCTAATAAGCCTGGGAGCGCTATGGGAGACTGGAGTCTATTTCACCTCTGCAGTCTCGACCATAAGAGACGACCACGCCCAGGGGTGCCAGTTCAGAGACCCACCCCCAGGTGCGCATTCTCTTTCTCAGGGATGTTCCATGCTGAGAAAAAGAATTCAGTGATATTTCTCCCATTTGCTTTTGAAAGAAGAGAAATATGGCTCTGTTCCACCGGCTTACTGGCAGTCAGAGTTTAAGGTTATCTCTCTTATTCCCTGAACAATTGCTGTTATCCTGTTCTTTTTTCAAGGTGCCCACATTTCATATTGCTCAAACACACATGCTGTACAATTTGTGCAGTTAATGCAATTATTACAGGGTCCTGAGGCAACATACATCCTCCTCAACTGAGAGGATTAAGAGATTAAAGTAAAGACAGGCATAGGAAATCACGAGGGTATTGATTGGGGAAGTGATAAGTGTCCATGAAATCTTTACATTTTATGTTTAGAGATTGCAGAAAAGACAGGCATAAGAAATTATAAAAGTATTAATTTGGGGAACTAATAAATGTCCATGAAATCTTCACAATCCACATTCTTCTGCCATGGCTTCAGCCGGTCCCTCCGTTTGGGGTCCCGGACTTCCTGCAACAATTTTAGACTAATATCGCTCAATAAATTATATCATATTTTTAAATTTAATTACCTGCAAAAACATGAGAAGTTCATGTCCCCATACTTATAAGTAGTATAAATCTAGGAAGAAAGTTGGGTTTTTCAAAATTAATAATCAACTTTTTGTGTACTTGATTCTCTCATGAAAAATTACAATTGGAAATATAATATGGTTAAATTTAAATGTGAATGAGCCTAGAGGAAGAAGGATTGTGACGGGGAAGATGACATGCTACCCATATTTTACTACAAAGTGCGACTTTTTGCCTCAAATGCTGGGAGTGCTGTCAGCAGGTAGTCTCTGCCCCTAAGCTCCTTCAGGCAATGCCTCAGCTGCAGAGTCATGTGCTTTTTGAGGTCCATGCATCTCATAACTGATTAAATAAGGCTACAAAGCCTGGAAACTTTGGCCCAATACAGCACAACTCTGGTGGTTAAAACTGCTTCAAAGCTACTCCTGGGGCAATCTAAGGTTATCCTTCAGGCCCGCAATGCAGCAATTTGTATTCTCCTTCTTTCCAATCCCACTTCTTTTCATTCCCTTCCACATATTTTGATTCCAAAGACATTTCAAGCAATAACTTCCACACTTTTATGGGCTGAATTGTGTCCTTCTTGAATTCATATGTTGAAGCTTTAACTCCAGTACCTGAGAATGTGACTGTCTTTGGACATATGTCTTTTAAACAGGTAACTAAATTGAAATGAGACCATTAGGGTGGGGCCCAATTCAATTTTACTAATGGCCTTATAAGGAGAAATTAGGATGCATAGAGAAACAGCTGTGGTGCCACATGAACAGAAGAGAGGATGCAGTGAGAAAGTGGCCATCTGCAAGCCAAGACAGAGGCCTCTGGAGAAACCAGCCCAGCCAGTTCCAGAACTATAATACAATAAATTTCTGTTGTTTAATGCACCTAGTCTGTGGTATTTGTTATGATGTGGTATTAAACTAATGTACACATTATACTTCATTGTAGTGCCTGTCATAAAAGCTAATCTGCAAACATTTGTGCCAAAGGTGGTCTGGGAAAGCACGTGATAAGATGGGGTGTTAGATCTAGATTATGCACTACCCTTAGCAGTGAGCCCCTCATCATTGTTAGCAGGCTGATCTCAGACAGACCTTCACAAAACGTGATATTCTAATTGTAAAACTTTACTGAGTATGAATTGTCATAGCACACCTGTGCAGAAGAATGCACTAGCTGGTATAGATTTATCAATTGTTTGAAAAATGTGGGGGAAATAGTAATTGCAAAGAAAATGGAATTGAGTGTCTTTTGCTAAGTTTCACTGAACTCTAGGCAAAGATAACAAAAGGCTGAGAGAGATTAATAGGCAAATGAAAACCTATGTGAAAACCAAAGAGTTCTCTTGACAATTTAAGAAGAGGCTTTTATCTCATGTAGCTGAAGGGCAGAAAAAGCCTAGGGATTAGCCCTAATCATCAGAGTAGCTGAATTCCAAAGAAATTTAAACTCTCAAAAAAAGTTATTTTTCTTATGCCAATGTACAAAGTCTGCTTGGAAAATAAAGGGACTCAAACATATGGCATGGTGCTATCTGAGTTGTCCCTCAAAATTGTAATTTCTCATGTATCTTCAGTCCCTAGAAAAGTGGCTCAACTCTCCACTTAAGACTCAAAAACCTCTTTTCCTAAGTAAACTGAAGAATGTCTTCTCTACTGTGAGACAATATATGTCCCTCTAAGGAACTGACCCTATCCCCACTCTTGGTCATTAGGCTTGTAACGAGGGAGAAGTTGCAGCTTTATGCAACTGGGGACATACTGAACTCGATGAGGGTTTGGGAAAGAAGTATTACAAAACCGCTGCAAAACCTGGCTAGCATGGGTTATCATGAGCACCGAGAGTATGCATGGAACTAAATTTTGAGGGTATTTAACCTAGGAGGTTGGAACAGAAATGTGGGTGAGGGAGAATTCATTAATTTAGGAGCCCTCTTCTGAGATATAAGATTATCACTCTGGCAAGGGTTCCATGAGGTAGTGTAAATTTGTTGCTATCATGGCCCCAAGAAGCATGGAAAATGTTGAGTAAGCCAGAATTTTTACGAATACTGAAGGAATGGAAGGTTCAGTCCATGTTAGAGTACGTGTTAAGGCAGAAAAGCCACCAGGCAATAATGTCACATGGGAAGCCCCAAGATATAAGCCAAAATAAGGCCCTAATAAAAGGGGTTCAAATCATTATTTTAGCAATGCTTCTCCTTTATAAGCCGTGGTTAATTACAAAGGAGGCCATTAGAGAAGTTGGTTCATTTATAACAAAAAGGATGAGAGGATACTGAAACAACAGAGGTCATGTGGAGGTGCTTACCCGTTATATACAAGGTCAGAGTAGCAGCCAAAAGTGCCCGTATTAGAGTTCCCCATACAAACAGAACCAAAAGGATGTGTGTGTACATGTGTGTGTATACACACATATAAATTTCTGCATTTATATCTAGCCATATATACAGCTACAGACAGAAATTTATTTTAAGGAATTGGCTCGTGCTATTATTATAGCTAGAAAGTCTGAAATTTTTAGGGCTGGTTGGTAGGCTGGAAACTCCAGCTAGAGTTAATGTTACATTCCTGGGTCTGAAAGCAAAATTCTTTCCACTTGGGGAGACATCAGTCTTTTAACTGGTTGGATGCGGTCCAACTACATTAAAGAGAATAATCTCATTTACTCAAGGTACACTCATTTAAAAATTAATCACATCTCAAAAATACCTTCATAGCAATATCTCAATCAGTGTTTCACCAAACACTGTACATGAAAGCCTAGCCAATTTAACACATGAAATCAACCATCACAGGGCTCAAGGAAAAAGAAGATAATGGAGATGGTTAATCAGGACAAAATTGATGGCAGCCAGAAAGTGTTATTACTCAGCTTCTAACATCAGAATAAACTAAACAAAACTGATAGGAGGCCAAAGATAGTTAATCCAATGGCAGATCATGATCCCTTGCCTAGTGTTCCTGTCCTTATCTGTTTTCAAACTGAAAGAATAAAGTACTCTATAGTACCATTGCAAGTGCACATGGTATTCAGGTAATGAAATGGAATCCTCAGCAAAGTCAGCTCACAGTGGGTTCACTAAATCTATAGGCACTGTCAGTGGCTATTTCCCTGGTCACCAAGTATGTAATTAGTATAATATACTTTTTACCGTACTTGGACCCCACATTGGGTTCCTGGCTCCTTGGGTAAGACCTATAAAGTGGAGTAGAAAAACTGAAAAGCCTCCTAAACAGCCCCCATATTAGATTTTTATGCGAAGTTTGATGCAGGGTATCATTGGTGCAAAACCTAAGATGAATAGTCAACAGAAAATGAAACCTTAATTCAGATTGTGATATTATTGAAAGCTGATAACTTTGTGTGGCAAAAAACACGTTTACTTTTTATTAGAAAAATGAAAACAATATAAAAAACTCAATTGATAGTAAAAATTAAAAATAGTAACTTGGAATAATATGTGAAAATTAAATTACACACACACACACACACACACACACACACGGAGAAACCCACATGAAGATGGAGTTATGCTGTCACAAACCAAGGAACCATCAGAAGCTAGGAGAGAAAACTGGAACAGATCCTTCCCCGGTGCCTTTGGAGGAAGAGCAGCCCTGAAGTCACTTTGATCTCAGACTTCAAGCCTTCAGTTGTGAGACAATGCAATTTTGTTTAGTAAGCCACTTTGTTTTGGTACTTTCTTAAGACAGTCCTAGAAAACCAATAAAGCTACTCAATGACAGCAAGAGAATAGTGAAATAAAGTAAAAGCAAAAATAAATTAGATTCTTATCTCACACTATACACAAAAAGTAACTCAAAATGAATTTAAGATGTAAACATAAGACTTGAAAATGTGAAACTACCAGAATAAAATACAGGAAAAAGATCTGTAAAATTGGCTTTGGCAGTGGTTTCTTGGATATGCCCACAAAAGTACAAGTAACAAAAGCATAAAAGAGAGAAATGAAATTGTATCAAGCTAAAAAGCTTCTGCACAGCAAAGAAAACAATTAACAGATTTAAGAGACAACCTAGAGAATGGGATAAAAAATTTGCACATGATACATCTAATAAGAAGATAATATACAAAATGTATAAAGGAGTCAAGTCAATAACAAGAAAACACATAACCTAATTTTTTAAAAAGGCAAAGGACCTGAACAGAAATTTCTCAAAAGAAGACCTATGAGGCCGGGCGTGGTGGCTCACGCCTGTAATCCCAGCATTTTGGGAGGCCGAGGCAGGAGGATCATGAGGTCAGAAGATTGAGACCATCCTGGCTAACACAGTGAAACCCCGTCTCTACTAAAAATACAAAAAAATTAGCCAGGCATGGTGGCACGCACCTGTATTCCCAGCTACTTGGGAGGCTGAGGCAGGAGAATTGCCTGAACCCAGGAGGCAGAAGTTGCAGTAAGTCGAGATTGTGCCACTGCACTCCAGCCTGGGTGACAGAGCGAGACTCTGTCTCAAAAAAAGAATAAAAAATAAAAAAAGACATACGGCTAACAAGTATATGACAGAATGTTAAACATCACTAATCATTAGGGAAATGCAATTCAGATCAAAATGTGATATTAACTCACTTCTGTTAGAATGTATATTATTTAAAAAGACAAAAGACAACAAGTGATGACAAGGATGTGTAGAAAAGGGAACCCTTACACACTGTTTTTGGGAATGTAATTAGTACAGCCATTATGTAAAGCTATATGGAAGTCCCTAAAACAACTAAAATAGAATTACCATGTGATCCAGCAACTCAACCTCTGGGTATATATCCAAAAAAATGAATTTATTATTTTGAAGAGATATCTGCACTGCCATGTTCATTGCAGCACTATTCACAGTAGCTAAAATATGGAAGCAATGCCAAGGTCTATCAATGGGTGAATGGATAAAGAAAATGTGCTATATATACCAGATCGAACACTTTATAACCTTAATAAAGAATAAAATTGTGTCATCGGTGACAACCTGAATTTAAAAAGAGGACATTATGTTAAGTGAAAAAAAGCCAGGCACAGAAAGATAGATACTGCATGATCTTATATGTGGAATCTAAAATAGTCGAACTCATAAAAATGCAGATAAAATGGTGGTTACCAGAAGTTGTGGGGTAGAGGAGTGGGATAGGAAAAAGAGAGATGTTGGTCAAATAATACAAAGTTTCAATTAGACAGGAGAAAGAAGTTGTAGTGATCTATTGCACTGCAAGATGTCTATGTTTATAATAACTCATTGTATATTTCAAATTTGCTAATAGAAAAGCGAGAAGTTGGTGGAGTAATGGCAATTTTATTTAGCTTGATTTAATCATTCTGCAAGGTATTCACATCTCACTGCATCCCGTAAATATATAAATGCAATTGTTCTTCAATTAAAAATAAAATTTTAAAAGGTTATATTTACAGAATAAACTTAGAAAGTTGCATAAATAAAATGATTTATATTCTATCACAAAATGTTTGAGTTTTAAGTTTTTGCTATTTCCTCCATTCTAAGCTTTCATGTACTCTGCTACAAAAATAATCTAAAAAAATAAGATCTATAATACTTTCCACTTTATTAAATAATTGCACCTATTAACATACTACCTAGTGCATTTCTTTGAAAACACAGAGAACAAAATACAGAGATGAATAATTGTAAATGGAATCAAAATCTAAAACAACCCTGAATCATTATCCAAAAGTCATTTAAAGATATTCGGATCCAGTCAAGGGGTAATGCTCAGCAAAGAAACAAGCCTCTAAAGTATTAGACAATTGGGTAATGTTGGCTTCGTTTTTAAAGGCAAAGTCTGGGAAAGAGCTTGGTTTAACGAGATGAAGATGCATGTATCGCAACCTCTTAGTGAGAAACAGGCTCACAGTGTGGCAGGTAGCAGTGTGGAGCAGAGGACAGCTGCCGCCAATTACAGCCAGCTGAAGAATAAAAAACAAAAAACGAATAAAACTAAATTGCCACTCAAGGGCAAAAACAAAAATAAAACAACAAACATGGGACATGCAGGGTTTTGCTGATTTTTCTGATAGAAGACATACCGAACATTGACAGCCATGATCACAGTTGTCCTACCAGGCACATCACATGGCAGGAAACAGTTTTGGAAAAAAATTACAAGCAAATTACTTATATTCACTTTTCTTTGCAACTCAGCTAACAACTTTGCTCTTTGATTTTACCCTGTGTTCAAAAATCGATTATTCAAGTCATTCATAATGTTAAATGAATAATAACATATAGGGACCTATACCTACATAATATAAGAAAATAAGGTGAGAATCAAATAGCACACAAAAATATATAATGTAAAATAATTATATCAAAAGTTAAAAAATAGAAACGAAAACTCAAATAAAGGGTGAAAAACTAACAGTAAATGTAAAATATGTGAAAAGAATCACGATCAAATATAGCACAGGATGTTAGTAATTGGATAGAAAAGGAAACTGAATGCATAAATGAAAGCTATATTTGATGCAACAAAAAGGAGCATATTCTTATTGAAAAAGGAAGCAGAAACATAAAAAATAGGCTTGCGGACAGCAGGCAAAATTAAATGGAAAAGTACATAACGTTTATAGTCATAAAACAATTAGATACACTAAAGACAGAAAAAAATAGCTCAAAACTTATATAATTTGTATTTAAGGAGATGAAAAGACAGAATTACATAAAGGGCTATTTCTGTGAGGTTTTTTTTTTTTGAGATGGGGTCTTACTCTGTTGTCCAGGCTGTAGTGCAATGGCGCGATCTCGGCTCACTGCAACCTCTGGCTCCCAGGTTCAAGCAATTCTCCTGCTTCAGCCTCCCGAGTAGCTGGAATTACAGGCATGCACCACCACACCTGGCTAATTTTGTATTTTTTAGTAGAGATGGGGTTTCTCCATGTTGGTCAGGCTGGTCTCGAACTCCTGACCTCAGGTGATCTGCCTGCCTTGGCCTCCCAAAGTGCTGGGATTACAGGTGTGAACCACCATGCCTGGCCCCTGTGAGATATTCTAAATTGCAAGAATAAATATAAGAATATCAAGAAAAAAAAGTCATTTATGGTGATATGTGTATGAAGTGTGTGTGTGTGTGTGTGTGTGTGTGTGTGATGGTGAGGGGATGTTAGGACGGGAGGCCAGTAATATAAGACTCAATGACAGTGGTATTATTTTTTTCAAGCCAGAGAGCAAGAAATGTTTCTAGAAATACTATAGGAAAAATAGACAAAAATTTAAAAATCAATGGCTTTTTTTTTCAAGGAAAAAGAAAGATGACCAAGTTTAGAAAATTAAGAGAAAAATTAAGATACTGAGGAACATAATAATGCTGAGCATTGGTATTACCTATTAATCATTTCACAGAACATATTTTCAATAAGATGAACCTCAAGAAAGTGGAAATAACAAAATGACTAAGGTTAATAAACCATTAGTGAGGAAAGATACAAGGAAGTGAAATTTCACGCTTTTACCCCTCATCCTTAGCATAATATCAAATATACAGTGCTTAATGTTTACAAATCAATGATTAAACCATTACTAGATTTGTAGTTTCTAAAATAATTAACAAAAATGTTTATTAGAAGACTATTTAGGTGATGTAAGTTTCCTCATTTCTTTATTACTCTATAATGAGGGCTGAATAATGACTATCAGAAAGTGATAAGAAGCAAAAGTATAATGTGCAAATTTGTAGGTGTAACTATAAAACAGTAAGACAAACACCATTGTGTATTCAATCACAATCACTTAATCACATTAAGTAAATATATAAAATGCATGTAATAGGATGTTAATATGGAAATCTTCCTGACTTTGTTCCACATAATATAGAGCAAGATGTTCATCTATTTATATGAGACTTGCAAAGGTAATTTCCAAAAAACAGTTTAAATAACATCATCCTATCACCTGACCCTAGGCTAAACACTAGCATGCCAGGATCTCAAGAGAGAAAATCATGGTGAGATTTTCTTTGTAGAGTTGACAGTTTGCTATTTGTTTCTCACCTTCCCCTCAATTTAAGTCAGATATGACCTAATCAAGTTGCTAGAAATTCCAACTTATTCAGTGTTAATTTGGAGTTTTTACTGTAATGTTACTTTTTGTTAAAGAATAACATCATCTGTCTGGAACTCTTTTCAGAAATATATGTCTAATCTTACTGGTAAGCAAGATGCATATTATTTCTCATGTATTATTATAAGGTATTTAGAATATTTCACTCTCTCTTCTTTATGTCCTGTCAAATATTTGAAGAGCTTTTTTCTACCAACTGTGGTATAAAGACTGTTATAAGCTCGTGCTAAATATATGCAGATCATCTCGTGGTATTCCCACTATGTCCTGGCCTCTTGAACACACGAGGCTAATCCATACATTTCAGTTCTCATTTGGCTTTTTGGAGTAAAGTGAGACATAGCACACTTTCCTGAATACCAAGATGTCCTAATATCCACAGTCCTCTAATCCTCTAAGACTCTGAAGCCTGTTTTCCACTTGATGAACTTGCCAAAGGAAGAGAAAGTCCTGTTCACTCAGATGACTGCAACCAAGTTCAAGGCCTTGCCTACAGTCAATTATATCATAGGTCCCAAAGGCCTCTATAATTTGGAAACATATGATATTAGATATAAATTAAATAGAGTTACATATATAGCAACATATTCCCTGAGTTTTTTATGGTTGTTTGAAGTAACATAAATTAGAATACAGAACAAAGAGTATGATCTGTAGTGAAATATTTGGTAATATTTAATATAAATACTTAGATTCAATATGAATCTTTAAAAATAAAATAACTTCAAAACTTAAAGAAAAATAGACAAAAGCAAAGCATTAAAAGATTTTAATTCATTTTATTTCACTCAAATACACAAGTATATAGCATACAAATATGACATATTTAATAAAGTATATATACTAGATAACTATTTGACTCTATACAGCCAAGCCCAAAAATGTACACTATTTTAAAGTGACCCTTCAAGGATTGGTGAAAAATGACAATATCATACTTCTTAAAGAAAACCAAAATATATTTCCATTTTCCACAGTTCATTTATTCTGTAAATCAGAAGGCAAAATAACAAGAATAAGAATAAAATAACACAATTTAGACTTAAAATACTCTCTTGAGTCTAAAGTCCAATAGGAAATAAGAATGGAGTGATTACTAGTAAGAATGGGGATATCACTAGTACTCTCTAGTTACTAGAGAGTAATAACTCCATTCTTACTAGTAATAACTAGAGAATACCAGTAATAACTTCATTCTTATTTCCTACTGGACACGTAAGATTACCCATTTTAAATTGACACGTAAGATTAACCATCAAAGTCATAACGAGCCTATTTTTATTATTTTCTATACTAGTTTCTACACCAATATTTATTCTAGTAATTAATATAGAAAATGAATGAAAATAATATTTCAGAAGCTATGAGATAAGGCTAGTTATGACTTTGATAGTTAATCTTATGTGTGAACTTGGCTGAGCCACAGAGTGCCTGGACTGTTGGTCAAACATTATTCTGGGTGTTTTGTTAGAGTGTTTTTGGATAATATTAATCAGTGGACTTTTGAGTAAAGCAAATTGCCTTCAATAATGTCATTAGCCTCATCCAATCAGTTGAAGGTCTGAATAGAACAAAAAGATTGACTCTCTCCTATATAAGCAGACTACTTTCAAACTTCATCTGAAACATCAGATGTCAGACTGGAACAGTGGCATTGGGTCTCCTTGGGTCTTCATTGAGCAGGCCCATCCTGCAGAGAGGGAGGCTGAGGCACGAAAATCCCTTGATCCTGGGAGGCAGAAGTTGCAGCAAGCCAAGATCACGCCGCTGCACTCCAGCCTGGGTGACGAAGCCAGACTGTCTCCCCCTCCCCAAAAAAGAAAGTCAATGTGCAAAAAAATGTGATATATGGTCACCTCCAGAAGTGCCAAATAGCCGTTTCATAAAATGTAGCATACATTTCTGATAGAAACGTAATAAAATGGGAAATATTGTTTCTTGATGTAAATTAAAGTGCATATCACAATAATAAGAATCATGCATAATACTGAATAATTAGATGCATACATTTTAAGGATAATGTAAGATTAATCCATCATAAACATTAATATATAATAATATTCTAGAAGTGTTACCCAATCCCAATTAGTAAAAAACATTGAAAGACGCAAAACTGTTGTTGCTTTAGTTGATATCATTGTATACCTAAAACACTTCAGAAAATGAACTTAAAACTTTGAAATAAGATAACTTTTTATTACAGCTGGTTACCAATTTAATAGACAAAAATGCTTAGATACCACATAAAAAACCAGGAGCTAGTTAAAATAGTATAACAACCCAAAAGTTTTTTTATTAATAAAAAAATTAAAACACAAAAACTCATGCACATGATTATAACTTCAAATTTAGGGCCTTTTTTCTTAAATGCCATAATACTTAGAGTTATTGGTCTTAAATGAGATTAATTTGTTCTGTTTACCTTAAATAAAAAGGAAATCCATTGGGCAGATACCAAGTTCTTATAGATTACATTTATTGTTGGAGGATTTTGCCTCGACAACAGTTACAAACTAAAAAAGTTATGTTGGACCAAAGAATTGAATGTACACAGGATCTCTGGTACAAACTGTCAGGAAATGGTGTTGGTGCCAACACCAGACACCACAGCTGCCTCCACTGGACAAGGTGATTGTCACCACTGGATATCCTTAGTGCAGAAAATGCAAAAAATTATTTTCACTGTTTTATTACTTGCCATGCCAGCTTCAATTTTAAAATATAGGGCAGCAGTTTATGATTGGGCAAAATGTAAGTCCCATTTTCCTTGCAGCTGGGAGATAAATATTTGGGATATTCATCTTCCATAAGGGAAGGTAGAGCAATGCCTCCCATAAGGGGTACACAAAATTGGTCATTTTCAGAAAGTAGAAAGTGGATGTGGGATGATGAAGAACTAAAGCATACTGTGCATCCTGTTGGCTCCCTAAGCCTGGCACTCATTTTGCTTTCCTTAATTAAATTTCCAAATTTGGTTCTGCCTAAATAATGCAACTTTTTTTTTACAATTAAAAAAAGGGAGTCTCTATTTTCCCAAAGGAATACAACCCTAAATTTCTTCTTTCCTGCATGCACCCCAACATCATTGCCTCTGAAGAATATCCATTCTGCTTTAATTGTTACATTCCTGTCACGGATTGTTCAAACTGTGGTCTAAATCAGCAAAGTGAAACACCCCCACCACCACTGTCAATGCACACTTATCTGAAAAAGGAGGATAAATAAAAATGAAAGGTAAAATCATACTAAGTAAAATTTCTTTTTCTGTAATTGGGTAAATAGCATAATTTATGGTTTTCCCCTTCCAGTACCTACTTGTTTAGTCTGCAACTCTGCTGACAAGCTGATATAAATCTCCTTGTCAATTGGGATGACCTAAACCTTTATTTCTTAGGATGTGTGTTCATGGTGCTAATGCCTCTTTGGGGGCCCTTTGTGTTGCATTAATAATCATTATTGGACACGTGGGTAATAGAAGAGCTCACTGCACAATACCCAGATTTATCTACTCGATTATCGGAAGCACTAATTTCTACCAAAACAATCATCTCATTTTTGCCTTTTTACTAATTAGAATAAAGAAACTCAAGGGTCCTGGTAGCAAATCTAACTTATAATTTTCTAAAACTGCTTATTTTCTTAGGTTAAAAAGATATTAAACCTACAGAGTCTAGAAATGTGCTGAAAACGTTATTTTTTCTGGCCTTCAATATATTCATTATCAAATGTGCCACTCTATTTCTACCCACTTGGTGAATAGGCATCGGTATTTTCTTGCAGTTTCATTTACGTAGCTTTGCTTTAACTTCCACGCTGCATCCTAAAGACCTGCTCCCAGGTGGCCAGATGACTTCCTTCCTATATTTCATACATTTCTGGCTAATCTAGTTAAAAGAAGACATCATTCACGATTCCCTTTCCCTAGTCTATCCCTTAGAAGTCTCTGTCATGCAGACAGTCTCTTTGTTGCAAGAATAGCCACTGACCATTGCAATTAAAGAAGGGGAGCTATTACAAATGTGTTAGGAGTATTGACAAGAGATTGAATAACCAGGCTTGAATATTGGCAAGAACGACATAACTTCAGAGGGCCAGGAAGCAGGCAGCACTGCTGCAGGACACTTCTGCAATAAGATGGAACCAACATTCTGAGCAACAACTTTTATGTCATTCCTTTGCAGTAAGTTGAGCACTATTTCCTTTTTTTGCATCAAGTTTCAAATGCAGCCATGAACATTTAGATGGCAGAGGCTAGTAAATGTGTCTTAATTACCTGGGATCAGTGCTAAAGGTCTACCTCCTTTGACCATTTACAAAACAAGATACAGAGGAAGAGCAAACCATGCTTTACTAATGAATGGTCAGATCTGGACAAATGTACAATATATCTTCCGAAGGTCATAAAAGAAGTATTGAAAACATTTTTAAAAAGCAACATATCTAATTTAGGTTGAAAAACCAGTGTAGTAATTTACATTTTCTCTCTTTCTCTCACTAAACACATGTTAAATAGAAGGCTGACTCAATAAGAATAAAAATGTGATTTTAAGATTTATTTGCTTACTTTACAGGATATATATTTGTGGGAAAAGAAAGGTAGTTATAAAGTTTGAGTATTAATATGAATACTAAACATTCAAGAGTAGACAGAAATTTCTGAAAAAAAGATGAGCGATGAATTAGCTTGCAAAACACTAAAAAAGTTATGGAATTAGAGTAACTAAAACGGTATTGACATAATTCATTTAACAGGTTAATGTAATATGATAAAAAGTATAAAAAGAGATGCTAATGTTTATGGTGATTTAGCATAAGATAACATATATATGTTACATATATACATAAATATATATATATACATAAATATATATATTTATTTTTGAGATGGATTCCCACTCTGTCACCCAGGCTGGAGTGTAGTGGTGTTATCTGGGCTCACTGCAACCTCCACCTCACGGGTTCAAGGATTCTCCTGTCTCAGCCTCTCCAGTAGCTGGGATTACATGTGTGCACCACCCTGCCCAGATAATTTTTTGTATTTTTAGTGGAGATGGGGTTTCACCATGTTGACCAGGCTAGTCTTGAGCTCCTGACCTCAAGTGATCACCTGCCTTGGCCTCCCAAAATGCTGGGATTAAGGGTGTGAGCCACTGTGCCTGGCCAAGATAAAATATTTAATATATTTTGTACATACAACAGACTAGCAATTTTGATGGGAAATGAATATATGATTTTACACTAAGTTTAAATATTAAAACAAAATAATACATTATATGGAAGTGCACAATTTTAATTAAAAGACATGAAGTGAGAAAAGCATTACTAAGGTACCCACAAACTCAAAAAATAAAATATAATACACATTACCAAAAATGCTGTTATACCTTATTCAAAGGTAAAAAACAAGTTATGCATTCTGAAAAAATTGTGTTATATTACCACAAACAAGGCTAATTGTCTTTATTAATCTATGTTCTAAAAACTAAAAGGGAAATACCAAAAACCAATCTTAAAAAATGACAAAATATATGAACAGTCAAGTACAATTACCTTGAAATATGTGAAAATGTGCTTATACACTCATTATTAAAAAACAAAACAGGGCCAGGTGCGGAGGCTCAAGCCTGTAATCCCAGCACTTTGGGAGGCCGAGGCAGGTGGATTATGAGGTCAAGAGAGAGAGACCATCCTGGCCAACATGGTGAAACACTGTCTCTACTAAAAATACAAAAATTAGCTGGGTGTGGTGGCATGTGCCTGTAGTCTCAGCTACTCAGGAGGCTGATGCAAGAGAATCGCTTGAACGCTGGAGGCAGACGCAGTGAGCCAAGATCGTGCCACTACACTCCAGCCTCGTGATAGAGCAAGACTCCATCTCAAAAACAAACAAACAAACAAACATAATATAAATAACATATAATATTTTCACCTCTGTAGTTATTTGGAGGCAATTTGGCCAATCTGAAATTATTTAAAGTGTACAAAATTTTAACTTCAAAATTTTCTTTCTAACATTTATTATAAATACAGTTACACAGGCATATAAAGATATAAAAATAACATTCTTTTCAAAGTGGTCTTTAATAGCAAATAGGGGACAGAAAATTATTCTACAATTGTATATGTTTATATATGTTATTTTGAATAAATAGTTTGATATATAGGAATGCTATAGACATGGTAGATCCATTCTACTATTTGGATATACTATAATGAAATTAACCATACCTGTGTTAGAATGTAGAAAAACAAATTATATTTATAAGCTAACCTAATACATTAGAATAATAAAGTTCCTGGGTGACATATAGACAATTCCTGGGACTTTATTTTTTGCAAGGTATACCTGAACTTGCATTAACATGATGGGTTATAACATAATATGTTATCATTGAATCTGGCCTCACAGCTTCAAAATTATACATTATAGTCTCCAAAATAAAAGAGAGGGATGCATCTGAAAATGTAAAATCTTTTTTTTTTTTTTTTTTTTTTTTGCAAATATTTGCACCTAAATCAAGTTCTAGTGCCTTTCTTTGGAATTACGGAGAATAAACATTTCCTCTATCAATGGCCTAGAAGATTACTCTTCGATGCTGACAAACTCTGGTTCTTTAAAAAAATAAAATTTTAATAATTTGCAAGTGTATGCATTTTTGTTGAATATCGTCAATACAGAATATGTTATTACTTTAGTAGAGTTACTGCAGGTAGCAACATGACTAAATGCATATTATCTACTTTATAATAAATTACTAAACGAATCCTTAACCTCTACGAAAAATATTCATCAGGACAATTAGCTGCAAGGTCTAACATTAGATCAAAGCTTGAGGTTTGGGAAAATGAGCTTGTGCATAATAGCCATTCACCACCCTTCTCATTTTGCAAATTTTATCTCAAAGGTACGGTTTGCAATTATTCCAAGTAGAGATGTTTCTTTAAAAGGCAATTATATCAGTCATTAACACCACGGAAGTACAGCTCAAGGCCAACATTGGTGCTTCTAGATTAGTTAAGCTTGCAAACAATATAGGGGGAAAAAAGTGAGTAGCTCCAGGCTATGGTTACACTTCACCAAAATTTCAAGTGGAAATGAAATCAGTCTTGAGAATTCGAAGTGTTAAAACGACTCATTTAACAAAAAATATTTAAAAAAACTTAACCAAGATGGATTGAAAACATAAATATTTGTATAAAGAACATTTAAAAGACCATGGAAAGGCTGGGCGCGGTGGCTCACGCCTGTAATCCCAGCACTTTGGGAGGCCGAGGTGGGCCAATCATGAGGTCAGGAGATTGAGACCATCCGGGCTAACACAGTGAAACCCCGTCCCTATGAAAAATACAAAAAAATCAGCCGGGCATGGTGGCGGGTGCCTGCAGTTCCAGCTACTCAGGAGGCTGAGGCAGGAGAATGGCATGAACCGGGGAGGCGGAGCTTGCAGTGAGCCGAGATCCTGCCACTGCACTCCAGCCTGGGCAACAGAGCGAGACTCCTCCATTTCTAAATAAATAAATAAATAAATAAATAAATAAATAAATAAATAAATATAAAAGACCATGGAAAGCATAAAAATTTAGAAGTGTCCTATGGGTTTTTGCAAAGTGATATTACACTCCAGGGTTCTACACTTAACAACAGACTGCCTGAGTTCATATATTGACTCTTTCTCCTTCATACTGTTCAACTTTGGTGAATTACATAATTTATCTGTTTCTTAATCTCCTCATCTATAAAATTGGATAGGAATTTCACCTCACTTGTGAGAAATAAATAAGTTGAATCATAAAAAAAATATTGAAAGAGTGACACATAGCAGCATACAATAAATGTACTTTGTCATTACTATTATTAAATACTATTGTTGATACAAATGTCAGTGCCTGTTCACTCCTTTACAATCTCTTATTAAATTAGCATTAAGGAATGTAAGAAAAACCAAAAAGTTATTGGAATTAACAACAATGTTGACTCAGAAATCTTGCAAATCACATAGACAAAGACAGAGATTACATTATTTCTCCTTCTTGCACTAAATGTTGTTTATGAGAAAAAAGAACATTTAACAAATCTCAGTCATAGAGTAGGTTCTTAAACAATACAAATGGTATTGAAGTTAATTAAGTAGAATAAAATTCTGTTAGATATAGTTTCGATTTTGTTTCTTCTAAACATCTAAACAAATACTTATAAAGGGCATTTATTGAAAATCATGTACAGACACACACACGTGCGTGCACATCACAAGCTAATCTGGGCTAGTGCCCTTTACAAAAGTATTTAACATATTGAGCCCTAACTGTATATGTATTTGTGTATATTGTTCTCTAGTTCAGTGATCTTCACACTAATTGTGAATGCCAACATTAAAAATATTTTATGCATTTCTAATCCATGTCTATTTATGACAAAACAATATACATATGCTACTATAATAATATGTGGTGAGCAGGATAAATAAAACCCCAAAATAAAGCAAAATAATAAGAAAAGGTAAAATGATTTGTATAATTTTTTTCTGATATATTAATAATTTTATGATATATTATATTGTCTTTGTATATCTTGTTTCAACATTGTATAACACTGTATTTTGAGTGTCTGATTATAGAGCACTGTACACTGATATTTGATTTTAATGACAGTCATAATTTAGAAGGGTGTCTCATCAAGAAAGACAGGACCACATAAAAAAAGTACTCTTACCTGTGTACAAAAAAAAATTTACTTTCCAACTTCATCAAATTATTAGTTTTCATTTTTCTTCTAATTCAGCAAGTAAATTTTTCTGTTTTTGATATTATTCATTTGTTCTTGCACACCAATGAGAAATTAATTTGTACATACATATGCATGCATTAATATCACTGCATATGTTTATAGTTGTACACACACTTATGTGTATGTTAAGATGTTCTATTTCCTTTTATTTGTAATGTGGGAAGAGAATAACTTTAATAGGTGGCATTGTCACATTGGTTCCAATGCAAAATTACATAACACTGGTAATATTTGCAAACATTCATTTCAAAATGTGCTTTCTATAAGATAAACAGTTCCACAAAAGTTATTATTTTCTCTTTAGTTGTTAAAGCATTATTTTACTTAGAGGATACAGATGATACAGATCAAATGTGTGTTTTTTCTTTCAAAAGTGACTGGATAGCATACAAGTCACTGACATATTTTCAGAAGGAAGTTAAATAAGTTTAGATCTACTATCTTTATGGAAAAGAGAAAAGAAAACACTTTTTGAGAGGCTGAGGTGGGCAGATCACCTGTGGTCAGGAGTTCAGACCAGCCTGGCTAACATGGCAAAACCCACTCTCTACTAAAAATACAAAAATTAGCCAGGCGTGTTGGCGGGTGCCTGTAATCCCAGATACTTGGGAAGCTGAAGCATGAGAATCGCTTGAACCCAGGAGGTGGAGGTTGCAGTGAGCTGAGATCATGCCATTGCACTCCAGCCTGGGCGACAGATCAAGACTCTGTCTCAAAAAAGAAAAGAAAACATGCATAATTAATTAATCTTTACATTAAATCCTATCTCTTAAAAAATTTTCCATAATATAGCTAATTAACTTTGTGTCAAGAAAAACTGACAGACTCCACATTCCATTCAAAAAGTAGAAAATACAGTACACATTTAAATATTTTCTTTTATAAAATTAACCACATTACTATTATAGTAGTTTGGGTACTTCTTTGCTGTATAGCTTGCTTGGATTAAATCAAAACAAACAAAACATAAAAACAACATAGATTCAACTCTTGACTCCTTTCACTGGCTCATAAACCACAATCAATGAGGCAATTTTGTTCAAAAACATATCCATAAACTAGCATCTTCTCACCATAAACTAGCATCTTCTCACCATTTTTTCTGTGGGCCAAGCTAGCATTATCTTTTGTGTAGTTCACACCTAACCATCTCCCTACTTCCCATCTTTGTTCCCATCTCAACTCTATGGCTAGAATGATTCTTTGAAAAATTGGACATTATGCTTCTATTATGCTCAGCAGAAGAACCTTCCAAATGATTGTCTCACTCTGAGTAAAATAGAGGATCTAAGTGTACTATACAATGTGGGCCCCTTGAACCTCAACCACACTACCTCTTCTCCTAGCATTTTTTTTTTAAAGCTGCACTGGCTTCTTTGCCACTAGTCAAACAGGTCCTGCACAGTCTTGGAAGTTGACATTTCCTTTCCCTGAAAAATCATTCCTCTTCCATATCATGCCTGATTAGTAACCTCTTCTGTTTTTTTTTTTCTTGGATCTTTGCTCAAGTGTCACATCCTCAGAATTAACTTAAAAATCACATTTTAAAAATAGTATGGATACATTCTCATCCCCTCATGTTCCCTATTCCTTGCGTCTGTTGAATTTTTCTGAGATAGTCTATATTTTATTTATTTATTGCATATTTGTATTTAAATATTGCATATTTTCTGCCCCTAATCAATGGAAGTTTCATGAAGGCAGGGATGTCTTTCTGCTTTGTTTGCTATATACCCAGGTTTCCAGTTCCTTCTCTAAGAGGTGCATGGAATGCAGAAAAGCAATTCTTCCTTAAAGAATCAACTCATTTATGTTAATTGTGCTTCTAACTGTGACAATTTCTCAGAAGTTTTTAAAGACTTAAAATAATAGCAAAATGCTATTGGTGCTTCAATTTATACAGTTTTAAATATAAAATATGGTTTCTAAAGATATTCACTCTTTATATTTGTCTAGTTCATATTTCAGTGGTTCAGAAAATAGTACTTTATACATCTCTTTTTTGAAATTGAATATTGTGAAAACCACAATTTCAGATACAGTAGAGACCTGTATACTTTTGAAGCAGGAGGTCAGCAGGACTTTTTTTTCGTAACTCTGCTGATCAAAACAGGATGTAGCAAAGAAACAGGCCAAAACCAGGTAAGACTAAAAATCATAATGCATTTGCATGCAATGAGATACTCCCATCAGCGCCATGACACTTTACAATTGCCTGGGCAATGCCTGGAAGTTACCTTATATGGTTCTGGGAACTCTGTCTCTTTTTAGAAAGTTTGTGATAAACCGGCCCCTTATTATTAGCATGTAATTAGAAGTAGGTAATAATGTAGTTAGCCAGCAACCCACGAGTGCTACCCTGCCTGCGGGATAGTCTGCTGTGTCCATGGAACAGCCATTGTGCTGTGCAATGTTACTCTAATAAACTTGTTTTCTTTCACTGTCAGTTTGCTCTTGAATTCTTCCTGAGTGTGGCCAAGAACCTTCCCAAACCCATTCCCAATTTGTGGGTTCACTGGCATCAGCTTACATCCAGTTTTACAGCAATCTTCTCCACCTTTGAAATGCTACAAACATGTTTGTATTTTTATCATCAGTAATATTTTTCAATCTTGTGAGAATGTTTCTTTCAAAAGAAGGTACTTTATTTCCATCCCATATTGCTTTCTATATTTTATTTGATCAGTTTGACCATGGCAAGAACAAGTATGACTTTGATGGTATGGGGTATTAGAATTTTACTTTTAAATAAGAAACTCTAGAATAACCACCTAAATCTTTACCATTAAGGGTATTTCCACAGAATTATTGTGTTAAGCATGGACTGACTTGTTAAAAAATTGCTATAGTAATTGTTCTTCATATACTAGACAGTAAATTTTGAAATCTTTTGCTAATAATTACGGCTTAATCCTATTATTTTCTAGTATCTCAGGCCCCATTGAGACTTTAGGACAAGTTTCTATATTTCATAAAATAAATCTGCACAGAAATCTGTGTTTCTTGTGATTCTAACCTCTAACTGATTTTCTCATTGGTTATATATTTACATCTTTTTAATATTTTACTTTATTTTACCTTATGATGTTGTTATATACTTTTACAAGTAAAAGAAAATAATTTCAGTTCTATCACCCTCTTGTGTATGCTTCTGCTTGAATTAATATCTTCATCTGATTTTTCTTGAAAGTATTTAAGCCATTTTGTGATTGTATTTTAATTATGATTAAATGAAATTAAACAAAAAACGTAAACTTGAAATTAATCAAGCTTAAAAGAGATATATTATTTTATAATTTCTAAAACAACGTTTGCTTGTCTTTTTGTGTTTCTAAATATTCACAATTTTCTTATGATAACCAGCATATTACATATCAGAATTGATCCCCTAACATACAGACCAAAAAGAAAAGAATCAAAGATATCAAAATTTCAATAGTTTGATATTCTTCACCTGTAACACAAAGAGACAGTCTTGCAAACTTCTTGGCAGAGAATATTTTCCACTACATGTATCACTGATCTAGACCTTAGACTTCTAAAAGAAAATATGCACTATCCCATTTCTTGGATCAATAACACATAACAGAATAACTGGCTTGCAAGAGTAATATACGGTTACTAATTATTTATTAAATAAATGTCAGCATTTATGTATTAGATATTATGCAGTACTGCTTCAAAAAGTTATTTATGTAGTACAGTATTTTAAAATAATTAAGACTTTCCTCTGAAAAAAATGTTTACAAACCTCAAAAATAAAAGTAATCTTGTTCAATGTCAGGCACTATTTTACAGAGATATGCTTTGATCCAAGATTTCCGGGTGTGCTGAATATACTTTCCTTCATATACATTTCTAATAAGCTTTATTTTTATAAAAAACATTTCCCTGCAACACTAAAATTCTGAATGCTTGCACAATCAGAACAATTATTTGTATTAAAACAGAAAATTGCTTGAATAAAATAAAAACAGTTAACAACTAATCAACCAACAATAAATATTTACTAAATATCTAGTTATTTTAGATGTTTAATTTGGAAAAATATTTCTTTTCTTTTTTATGAAGATAGATAATAATATTAATCATTTCTAAAATGTTTCCTGTGAGTGTGCATATGCTTAGCACTTTATAATTAGTTTTTCCCGTACTTTCAAACACTTGGATCTCTTGAAAGATATAATCTGTACTGGCAGCTAAAGTCTTTTATTTATTGAACAGTAGGGAAGAGTGACATAGACAGAGTCTTCTGCCAATGTATTTTACTGCTGATATTAAAAACTGTGTATAGATAGAAAAGAATTCCAACATGGAGCATCCCTTACTGTTTGCCAAGTTGCTCATAGGCCGCTAATCGCTACCTGACGATTATTCAATGAAAAGTGAAGTCAGACCACCAAACTATTTCATATATCATAGCCTACTGAGCATCTGCCAAATGTTAAACACCAGATGTCTTCATTGACCTAGGCTGGTCTGAAAGCATAGAATGAATAGCAATGACTCTATTTCATGTTCAAGTTTCCCTAAACCAGTTCAGGCACAAATATACATTTATAAATATCTCCTTGGCTGTAGGAACAAAATATTACAACTTATATTTATGTTGTATCTACAAATTGATACATATACACACACATGCATATATACATAATTTATGTGTATATAAAATATAAATTAGAGCTGATTACTCTATGTAAAGTATAAATCCAAAAGTAACTTAATATAAATCCAAAAGTAACTTAAAACATAAGGTGGTGATCATTTTTCAATGAAAGAAATGTTTATTTTTGTTGTTTTAAGATACTAAAAATCCAGGAAATTGTTGGTTATATATATATATATGCATGCATGTATACATACATATATCAATAATTTATAAGGATTACATATGGGAGTATATATACAGAGAAAAAGAGACAAATAGAGATTTCTATCATTCATAATATTACAATTTTTTATTGTCTTTTTATAGCTTGATTAAACTTCTATTTTTACATGGCATATAGAATATCTGCTGCTATAAACAACTCAATACCAAGTTTCCGAGACTCATAGAAAAACATACATAAGTAATAAAAGTTACGCCAAAAATGAGAAAAAACGATTTGGGGGAATCAAGATTCATGAGAAATTAATTATTTAGATAATGCAAATAGACCCATATTTGAAAGGGAAATTACAGCTTGAGATCAGAAGCACCAACCTATAACATGGTCAAGATGGTGGAATGCAGTAGCAAGTTTAGCAAGCTACAGTCTATAGCTTTTTACAGGGCTATTTTACAGGGGCTATTTACAGTGATTAATTGAAGTAGAGGGGCAGGAGCAGCCAAAAGGTTTACAATCTATCCTCCTTGAGTCAAAAAGCTATTGGAGGGGTCTGCCTCCAGGACTGCTCAAAGGATGAGAGTTCTTTCTGAGAGTTAAAGTGACACTCCTAATATCTAGTAATGAAACTAAAAGAAGATTGTATCTGGAAGGGCAGCTGCTGAGGTGCCTCTGAATGGTAAATCTATCTTGTAATTCTGTCCTGGCCAAAATTATAAACATGGCCCCCAATATTTCTATACTCTAGTTACTCATTCAAACATTCCTATTTGTGGTTAGTCAATCAAAGACTAATGTAAACTACTGTGAGTGAACTTTGTAGTTAAAGTTACTATCACCTGATCCTAGAATAGGGAAATTTATCCAGGTAGGTTCAGTGTAATCACATGGATCCTTAAAAGGAAAGAGGAAGGCAGAATAGTCAGTCAGATATATGCAGAAGCAGAAGAGGCAGAAGAGATAAGGCAGATGGAGAGGTCAGAGAGATTCAAAGTGTGAAAATGGCTTGATCCACCCTTGTTGGTGCTGTAGATGGAGAAAGGGCTCCACAATCCAAAGAGTTCAGGTGGTGGCTAGAAGCTGCAAGTGACCCTGGGCCAAGAGCCAGAAAAACATCAGGGACCTCAGTCTGCAATTGCTTGGTACTGAATTGTGTCAGCAACCTGCATGAGCCTGGAAATGAGTTATTGCTAGAAATTCCAGAAAGGAACACGGACCTGACTACACATTGGTTTGTGAGACACAGAACAGAGAAACCACCCACTCTCACTGGGCTTCAAACTTGTTGATTTGTGCTGTTTTCAGCTATTAAATTTATGACAAGTTGTTATAGGCACAATAGAAGACTAAGACAAATCCCATGCCTCTTGCATATCCAATTAAAATAACAAAATAACAAGCAGGACAGAAGAGCAGACAAATTGAACTTCAAAACTGACCATACTGTTGAGAATCACAAGGATTTGAAGACAGCAAATATTATGAACAAGACAAAACTCTACAAATGAAAGACCTTAAACCTGGTAAAGGACTTAATAGAAAAAGTAGAGTATAAAATGTGTATACTTGATATCTCTGGAGATTAACAAAATGTGACATATATAGATGTTATATATAAATAAGTGATATGTTCATGATATAAACGAGAATCAAAATGCAAAAACATAAGTTAAACTACAAACATTTTATTTAGAAGAGTATTAAAAACATGCTTTGGACTATGAATAAATTGGTATATCAGGGTGGATTAATATTAGCTACATATAACAAGGCAAAAACTGACTTAAAAAAGTAGAGGTTATATTTTATCATTCTCAAAAGATATAGGATTACCATATGAACTCATAGTGCCTAATAGGTCATACTACTGCTTTATACTTCTTACAGTACTACATTTTTTTTTAAATTCTGTGTAGTTCTTTTTCTTTCTTTCTTTCTTTCTTTTTAAATGAAGTCTTACTTCACTGCCCAGGCTGGAGTGCATTGAGGCAATCTCAGCTCACTACAACCTCCACCTTCCGGGTTCAAGCAATTCTCCTGCCTCAGCCTCCTGAGTAGCTGGGATTACAGGTGCCCACCACCATGCCAAGCTAATTTTTGTATTTTTAGTAGAGATGGGGTTTCACCATGTTGGCCAGGCTAGTCTCAAACTCCTGACCTGAAGTGATCCACCCACCTCAGCCTCTCAAAGTGCTGGGGTTACAGGCATGAGCCACCGTGCCCAGGCGATTCTTTGTAGCCTTCATAATCACTAAATGGCTATTGCATCTCTAGCTATCACACCAAATGTTTATGTGATAGAAAGAAGAAAGTGTCAAGTGTTAAAGGGGTCACTTCTCATCTGTGTTAATCTAACCCAATGTGTTCTGCTTACATCTTATTGGCCACTTTTCTTGCAATGGGAAGATGAAAATAATTTTGTATCTGAGCATGGCTGAATTTTTTGTAAGGTTATTTTGTATTGAAGAAAGAAGTGAAGACTGGATTTTGGCTTGACAAAAGAACAATCAGTTCATTTGTCACTAACCTTACAGTAACACTGTTTTATTTATTTATTTTTATTTATTCATTATTTAAATAATTTTAACTTTTATTTTTGATTCATCAGGTAGACGTGCAGGTTTATTACCTGGATATAAAAGGTCTCATCACCCAACTAGTGAGCATAGTACCCAATAGGAAGGTTTTCAGCTATTGCCCTTTGCCTATTTCCCCATTCTAGTAGTCTGCAGTGTTTGTTCCCATCTTTACGTCCAATGTACCCGATGTTCAGTTCCCACTTACAAATGAGAGCATGTGGTATTTGGTTTTCTGTTTTTTTGTTAATTTGCTTAGGATCATGCCCTCTAGCTGCATTCATGTTGCTGCAAAGGACATGATTTTGTTCTTTTATGGTTGCATAGTATTCCATGGTGTATTCATACCACATATTTTTTGTCCAATTCACAACTGGTTGGCACCCAGGTTGATTCCATGTCCTTGCTGTTGCAAATAGTGCTGTAATAAATACATGAATGTATGTGTCTTTTTGATAGAATGATTTGTTTTCCTTTGTTATATACCCAGTAACTGGATTGCTGGGTAAAATGGTAGTTCTGTTTTAAATTGTTTGACAAATCTCCAAACTACTTTCCATTGTGGATGAACTAACTTACGTTCTTACCAACAATGTATAAGCATTACCTTTTCTCCACAACCTCACCAACTTCTGTTGTGTTTTGACTTTTTAATAATAGTTATTTTGACTGGTGTGAAATGGTATCACCTTGTGGTTTTGATTTGCATTTCTCTGATGATGAGTAATGTTAAGAATTTTTTTTGTCAGCCACCTTTATATGTTTTTGGAAGTGGTCATATCCTTTGCCCACTTTTTAATAAGGTTATTTACTTTTTGCTTGTTGATTTGTTTACATTCCTCATGGATTCTGGATATTAGACCTTTGTTAGATGTATAGTTTGTGAATCTTGGCCCCTATTCTGTAGATGATTGTCTGTTTTCTATATTGAGTTTTTTGCTGTGCAGAAGTACTTTGGTTTAATTAGGTCCAACTTGTCGATTTTTGTTTCTGTTGCAATTGCTTTTGAGGACTTAGTCATAATTTTTTTGCAAAGGCCAATGTCCTGAATGGTATTTCCTAGGTTTCTTTCTAGGATTTTTATAGTTTGAGGTCTTACATTTAAATCTTAAGTCTATCTTTAGTTCATTTTTGTATACAGTGAAAGATATATTGTTAAAATATTATACTTCCCAAAGCAATCTATAGATTTAGTGCTCTATCAAACTACCAACATTATTTTTTCAGAATTAGAAAAAAAACTATCCTAAAATGCATGTGGAACCAAAAAAAAAAAAAAAAAAAGCCTGAATAGCTAAAGAAATCCTAAGCAAAAAGAACAAAGCTGGAGATATCACATTACACAACTTCAAACTATTCTATAGGGCTACAGTAACCAAAACAGCATGGTACTCATACAAAAACAGACACATAGACAAGTGGAGCACAGTAGAAAACCCAGAAATAAAGCCACACATCTACAACCATCTGATCTTTGACAAAATTGACAAAAATAAGCAATGGGGAAAGGACTCCCTACTTAATAAAAAGTTCTGGGACAACTGGCTAGCCATATGCAGAAAAATTAAGTTAACATTTTTTTAAATTTATAAATCACCAAACATTAGAATGTCCTATTTTTTCAAAACATAGTGTAATCCTGTCTTTTGTAGATATGCAATACAATTTTAGAATGTATTCACATGCAAAATAAGTTATCTTTTACAGAAAAATTCTGTATATATACTTTGTAAAGGTTATTTTGTAACCTAAAATTTAAAAATGGCTTGTGTCTGTTACAAAGTGTTTTTTTACTAAAAATGTTACTGGCAATTTTAACGTCAATGACATTTAAAAAAACTATAAATAAGACTGAAATCTAGAAAAATATTTGGAAAACATATTCAGAATGAGTTAGGATAGGCTAGGTTTCATTGTTAAAAAAAGCTCAACAAATTAATGAAATGGCTATTTCTCACTCATGTCACATATAGCAAGGCTCTTTGCTAGTTGTAGTCTAGTAGAGCACAAGACCAGTAGAAGCTCCACTTTGGAACTTTCTTTCACAATTTCCTAGCTAATATGAAAAGAATGTTGTGAATTATATGCTGGATCTGAGAGATGTAACTTCAAATTATTGCATGGCATTTAAACATGTATTTTACTAGTTCAAAGTAAGCTATATGTTTACATCTAATGTAATAGTGTGTCAGAAAACATAATCCTACCATGTAATAAAAAATTTTTGAGTAAGACTAATGGTTTATATACCTATAGGGAAGATCACTAATTGATTAAATGTTTGGAAAGTCATGTAATAATATATATAATAAAATCTCTAAAATATCGAGGTATGTCAGGCATGGTGGCTTATAGCTATAATCCTGGCACTTTGGGAGGCTGAGGTGGGAAGATAGAGTGAACCAAGGGGTTTGAGACAAGCCTTAGCAAAATAGGGATACCCTGTCTCTACAAAGAATTAAAAAATATAGCTGGCTGTGATGGCTCGTGCCTGTAGTCCCAGCTACTCAAGAGGCTGAGGTGGGAGGATTGCTTGAGCCTGGGAGGTCAAGGCGGCAGTCAGCATGATTGCATCACTACATTCTAGCCTGGGTAACAAAGCAAGACTTTGTCGCAAAATTAATAATAATAAAAACAAAATAACGTGCGTATTCAACACATTATTTTTAGGGCATTAATCCGAGGGAGAAATAATTAAATAAATATACAGACATTTTAGTACAATCCTCATTGTTAATAATAACAATATAAGATCTGATATTATATTGTTGAATAAACAATGGAATGGCTGGATAAAATGTGACATGTTTGCACATTGAAAAATTGTGTTTTTATCCCCAGGGAAAGTAGCAGATTAAATAATGTATCTGATTCTGTCATTGAAAATGCCCATTAAATCCATGAAAACTTCAGGAAAACTTTAAATCTATGAAAGTATGAAAATATATGAATGTCTGATATCTGACTTGCAAACCCCCAAAAAGCTGGATTTAATATGTCTATGGAGAAAGATGACAACAAAACAATTCAAATGACAGAATTCTTAAAAATGCCCAAGAATTTGGAGTACCATGTTTCACTCCAGTGGAAATTAAAAGGTATCAGGGCAAAGTAAAGAAGATTAGATGACAATCTGAGAAGCAGTTATATACTTAGATAACCTCTCTAAATCTATAGCACAAGGTAGGAAGTTTTCCTCCACCTAGAAAGAGATCCAGAGAATAATTCTCTACAAATGATAAAATGTACGGTGTCTGAATTGGTGAATGCTAAGAGATTTGAGAGCATAAGGGATTTACTAAAAACTGTGAGATGGAGGTAATTAATACTATTGAATGCAGAAAACTGGCCCTCTTCTTCTATCTACTATCCAGAACACTTTAAAAGGAGCCTAGAAGACTCTTTTTGGAAAACTAAAGAGCAAAGACTGAAATACTGGCTTCTCATTTTGGTATACACCAAAAGCAACTGAAATCATTATCCAGTAAAACTCAACAGTCAGCAAGTCTAACAGATACACTTTGAGCTTCCAATCTTATGTTTAGTCCCTCATTCTTAATCATGAACAGATACTGAAAAATTATATATTTTTAGAAAACTTGTAACATGGAAAATTAAAAACTCAAGCAAATGAGAAAAAAGAAACAGGAAATTCAAGGTTATATAGGGTGACAAAACTGCAGAAAATGTTCACTAATATGAGTGATAAGAGAAGAAATAGCATTGTTTAAATAGAACAACATACTATAGTAAATATATTCTGGAAAAGAAAAAATAACTGTGAAAAATGAAAACATAATAGCAGAAATTGGAACACTTCCAATTGAAGTTCTGTAATAAAAGTTGAAAATTGTTCAAGGCAGTAAAGCAGAAATAAAATGTGATGGAAAGTAGAAAAGGTAAGATACAGCAATTAGAAGACAGTGTCCAAAAATAGGAGTGCAAAAAAAAAGAGAAAAAATAGAGAAAACAAGTAGAATGAAATCACAAAATAGTGCAGAAAAACTATCAAAACTAATATGAGTTACCAGATGAAAAGAGCCCACACAATACAAAGCAAGATTAGTAACATTCTATGTATCTATCTATGTATTTATGTATCTATGTATCTATTATTGTATCTATCTATCTGATCTATCTGAAACTGGTTCTAGTGACTAGACAACATATTGTTTAACACCCTAGAGTAAGCAGTGAGTCTGCATAGACAATCAAGCACAAAGAATAAAGTAGCTTTCCTTAAGTGTCATACTCTTACTCTTCAAAATTAGTGGTTACATTTCAAAAATGTACTAATAGACTTTTATGCTACACTTTTTTTTCATCTTAAGGAAAACTAACTGAAGGAACATTTTAAAATACGTTTTCCCGGCCAGGCACAGTGGCTCATGCCTGTAATCCCAGCAATTTGGGAGGTCAAGGTGGGTGGATCATGAGGTCAGGAGATCAAGACCATCCTGGCTAACACAGTGAAACCCCGTCTCTACTAAAAATACAAAAAAATTAGCTGGGCGTGGTGGTGGGTGCCTGTAGTCCCAGCTACTCGGGAGGCTGAGGCAGGAGAATGGAATGAACCCGGGAGGTGGAGCTTGCAGTGAGCCAAGATTGCACCACTGCACTCCAGCCTGGGAGACAGAGTGAGACTCTGTCTCAAAAAGAAAAAAAAAAATATGTTTTCCCTGGTTACTTGTTTGTTGAACCACACAAGAGTATAATTATATATATATATATATATATATATATATATATATATATATATATATTTTTTTTTTTTTTTTTTTTAAAGAAAACTTCTTTAGATATTTATAATTTTTTAAATTTTTTTCAGTAACAGTGTTGCAGTCTCCTTAGTCCTTAGTTCAGCCAGGTCAGAGTTCTTGTCCCACAACCAAGAAGAATGAGGCATGTGGACACTGGAGAGTAAGTAGAATAGGATTTATTAAGCAAAAGGAAAGCTCTCACCAAAGATAAGGGGCCTGAAAGAAGGTTGTCAGAAACAGGGCTGAGTTCTGCTGTGTCCTTCTTGTGGCAGAAGCCAGGAAGTCTTTTGTGGGAGGAGTAAAGTTCCCTCCAAGGGATGTTGAATCTGTGCATGCCTGGGGTTGGCCAGAGTGACTCCATTTTGGTTATTACCCATTGGTGCCTAAGTGAAACCCATAGTGGAGCAAAAACCACAATGCTAATGTCACATTAATGTCATTATAATGAGCTGGGTCAAGTTAAGGACATTTAGGTTGATTTATTGTTCCTGAGCCAAAGTTGGGACAGTCCCTTCTGAGCAATGTCCTGGCACAAGGGGAAGTTCTTAACTACATTAACAGAAGGAGTGTAGGTGCTGTTCTGAGGTTGTTCCTGTGAAGATTGCTTTTCTCTGTCCTTCTCCCGAGACCCTCCCTCTCTCTCTGCCTAACCAGCCTCTAACTGCTTCCTCTCTCAACAGTACCCTAAGCCAATTGCATCAGATACCTGATTTAGCACACTGATTAAAAGGAATGAACTGTAGTCAGGTTCAGTGGCTGGCACTTTTACTCCCAGTCACTTGAGAGGCTGAGGCAGGAGGATCACTTAAGCCCACAAGTTTGAGGCTGCAGTGAACTCTTATCATGGGACTATGCTTCAGTCTGGGCAGCAGGTGGGACCCTATCTCTAAAAATTAAAAATAAAAACAGAAAAATTTAAATAAAAAGAAGAATGAACTGTATTTAATTCTCTAGAGTTATTAGGAATACAGCTGTTGCTAGGTAAAGGAATGAATGAACAGCAACACTGCTCCACCAGAGCAATGGAGACATCAGCTATTATATGTGAAAGATTAGCACCCTAACTTTAATTTATATAGAACCACTTTAGAACTTTTACACTATATGAAACATTCATTTATACTTTATAGCTCTAATTTCAATATGTGCTTACTCAAAATTAATGGCTGAAATAAAGTCATGTGAGATTATATTTTTAGAAAATACATTACCAAAATCTGTATTTTTGAGCATGAACAGGCATGTTAAACCCATGATTCAAAAATGGTCTTAAAGCTTAGCATACCTTAAAATGTTTTGATCTTTCAAAATAGTACCCATTCATTTTCACAATATATAGAGTCAAATTTTATTTTATAAATGACATGAAGAAAGTATAAGTAAAACACTTATATCTTTTTTAAAAAGAAATATTTTATAGGATATATTGTAAGTTTATTTTTACCTGAAATATAGATATAAAATGATATTAGTAGTTTGGCCAAGTTATTACTCTCCTAATCTGTAAAATATGATTGGCACTAACTATCTGACAGAGCATAAATTCTCAGTGGATTGGTATTGCCTCACTTAATATTAAATTTTGCTCTTTTCACTATGAAGAATAATTAATAATACCTGGTTGGTCTTTGGGATTCCAGAGGCAGTTTATTCCGCACTGGAAAATACTTCGCTAGATCATATGCCCAGTGAAATAAGTTTTCCAGTGGGTTCTGGAAGAGGAAAGTGCTCAGTCTGTGACAAAAGAAGCTCTGCCACCTAATAATATTGACTAAGTAGACTCAATAATATTAGCTATATTAAGAACTGAAAAAAATGCTGCTGTGAACAGGTTATGGCAAGCCCAGAAGGAGAAGCAAAACATTGGCTCTTGGGATCCTGAAGCAAGGCTTAGACCATCTGTAGCAGATAATTAAATTCCATTTTCAAAACAACTTTTAACATGGTCTGGAAGAAATTAAGCAATTAAACAGTGAACACCAAGTGTCTATGTATTTGTAACTGACCATCAAGTTCTATCCTGGGCACCAAATCATAAATTCAAGCAGACTCAAGAAGAAATCTATACTATGCTTGGCAGTTGCATATCTGTTTTTAAGTAGGTGAAAAATCAAGGTGCAATGGCAGGGTTCCCAGAAACCATGTCATTCACTAATGCTGTAGTAGCAGCACAACCCTCCCTGAGTTCTATGGCCATATGGTTGATCATACGTAACCAGCTGATAGAAAAGAAAAAAGCCTGTCCTTGGTTTACAGAAGGGTTGGCATGGGATACAAATGTAAGTGGAAGATGTACAGCAGTTGTACTAAGCAACGCTCTTGAAAAGTATGAGGTACGGGAATTCCCCTCAATGACAAAGCTTCATATGTTAATCTAATTATCTATTTTATGTAGCACAGGAAGTTAACCAAGATTAAAATATATATGGATACATGTGCTGTGTTAAATGGCCTAGTTGAATGGTCAGGGGGCCAGAAACAGGAAAATGGGAATATTGGGGACAAGGAGATTTGGAATAGAGGCAAGATAGTAGATATGTGAAACTTGAAATAAAGTGTGAAAATCTTTGTATCAGATAGTAATTCCCACTAAAAAAAAATCATCTCAGAAGAGACATCATAATTCAACTTCTTCCAATTCTACTTCTAGTTCTTATTTTAAAAAATGCATTCAAAATCAGATGGTGGTATTATAAATTTGTATAAGATTGAGGAAAATACTATATTCCATATTATTTTAAAATTATTTCTAAGTTTAAATTAAATACTTTACATTGTTCATTGTAATCAGAAACTTACTGAGTTTTCTTCTCGAACTGTGTAAAACCCCTTATATAAAATAGTTGTTTATAGTATGTGTTTCTATCTCTCCCTTGTTCCTTGTTCAAAAAATAACGTGTTTTTGAATTATATTGGATATGACTGCATAGTGTGTGGGAGGTGATAAATGATAATATAAAATCATTCTTTGCACTATCCAGGTAATAGTTTAGAAAAATCAGTTCCTCCAAATTTGTTTATTCAAGCAATAAAATGTACATTAATTCAGCCATTAAATTAAAAAGTTACTTAACACCTACTATGTGACAAAACTCATACTAGGCACAAGATATTTCCAAGAGAGATTCCCATGGAGTCTATACTTCTCATATTTGATGTCAAGATTAGGAAACTTATGAGTAACCAAGGTATATTAATATAATGTCATAAGTGATATGACAGTGGGAACATGGCACGGGAACATGTTTGGAGAAGGACTTACACCAAGTCTGAAGGCTTAACGTTAAGGGCTAAAACATATATACAAATTAGTCAGATGAAGACTAGGGCAACATGTTTAGACAGAAAGCTTAGTGGGGAGGGGGAGCAGCATGCTTAGGCAGGAAATTGAACACAAGTTAAGACGGCGAGATTGGGGCATGCAAATAAAAAGTGGAAGATGCTGAGAAGTTTGAAGAAAGGATGGATGAGAAGCATTTCCCAAAAAGATTTTTCTTATAACGTAAAAAATATTATACCTCAAAGAGGAGTAGTAATGAAGGGATTTAAGCTGGGAAATGACAGATATGAGTTTTAAAAATGTTCTTATTTGTTACATGTATTTTGTCTTCAAATTCACTAATCATTTTAGTTTTCTTCTCATGCAACTTGATTTAAGTGTTGAGCAGTAAGTCCACAAAATTGTCAAATACTCCAATTATGTTACTGGTAAAGCCACCTACTAATCCCTAGGCTGTTTTTGTGACTTTAGCAATTATCTAAGAGAGCATATAAATTTGTGGTTTACTTTTCATAAATAAAACATACAGTTTTGTGTCCTTAATATTTGACAAGCACATCTTCCAGGATTTGGAGATTGGCAGTAAACAGGACATACTATCCCTGCTTTCAAAGACATAACCTAAAATATAAAAAATAGTGAAAATTGATCGTTGCTCAAATGAAATTTCAGTATAAACAATATGTTAGTCCTGATTTAAATTATTTTCTCTTTTGCCGTGCACTAAAGACACAGAGTATCTCAATATCTTAAAATGCTGAATGGTTTTGTTTCTGCTGACATATGAGGGATCTTTGAATAGACACAGTAGTAAGTTTAGACCTCTGTAGGCTCTTCTCACTGTAGGATCCATGGGCTCCTTCTATGCCCACCTTGTAGGGCTTTCAGTGATGTGAAGGCTGTGACACTGACTTTGCCATTGGGAAGTGCAGGAATCCGTGATTCTTAGTCTCACTTGGAGAAAGAATCATCCAAGTGACTGATTTAGCCAAAAAAAGAAAATTTATTGAAAGAAAATCTAGAGCAGAGAGTTTATTTAGAGCGACAGTACACTCTGAAGACATGAAACAGAGTGGGATGCTGAAGAGAAATGAGCCAGCAGCAGCAGCCCGAAAAGTTCCTTGTTGAGTTTTCATGATGTCGCATTGTTTCTTGAAATTCCCACCTCTGTCTTGTCTCTGCCTTTTTTCTTTGTCTAGATTTTCCACTTCTGTCTAAATCCCCTCCTTGTCCCCACCTAGTTCCGACCCCAAGCTTGGTAATTAATTAGTTGGTGTGCATGTGCTGGCCAGTGCTGGATACGAATCTACCAAATGGTTGCATTGCTCGTTAATGTCATACCAGGAAGGTTGTACAGTGCAGAAATCTATACTTATTGCCTATGTATTTCCTAGGAACTTCCTCGTTTGCCCTTTCTCCTTATCAACATGTACCCTAGCTACATTCTGACAGGTTATCTGCAGTGTGAATGATTACTGGCCATCTTAAGGCGCATTTCTTTCTTAGGTGTTTTCCTTCCTCTCTGCTTATATTCGGCATGCATATTTCAGGTGATCTCGGAGGTGTGAGATTTTCCAGACCTCCCTTGTCTCAGGGTCTCCTCTCTCCTGCTTGTGTCTGGCTATCTGCCTACTTTAACAATGTTAGTTTGTGGCTGAGTAAGACAGCATTCCCGGGTTTCTCATCAAGCCAACTCCTTTGGTGAAGAAGGGTCCTCTTTTCCTTTTAGAAGATTTTTTTTATCATTATTTTAAAGCTCATGTTAAAGAAGAAAGATAAACCGAAAGTAAATCCTGACTCAACCTGGTTTTTTTGTTGTTGTTGTTTTTCTTTCTTCCTTTTTTTTTTGTAAATTTTCCCCATTAGAATATACTTAAAATTAGAGAAAATTTGAGGATAATATTTTTGTTAACTGAGTCCCTTTGGAATATCAAAAAAATGTGATGTAGAATCATGTCTTCCAAATGAAAAAATAAGAAAAAAAATACAGTGTGGGGTTATATTATGCCCTATGCCCTATATATTTGCATTGATTGAAAAAGTTGATCCAACTTGAACATGGCATTGTCTTTATTTCTAACAAGTCTATTTCTTGTTAGGATTACAAGAAATTGTAATTTCTCCTGATAATCCATTTACAGATACAAGTGCATATTTTATAGGTACAAGGAGGCACTATTTTTATGTACAATCCACTAGACTATGAGATAGAAGCTACAATCCACTTGATTTCTCTTTGATAATGTATTTCTGGAGGTCAATTTAAAATTTCATTCTGAATTTGTTTTTGCAAAACTTTTCAGAAATTATTTGTTAAAAAACCCTTGTAATAGGAAGAAAAAAAAACCTTAAATCAATACATCACCATGATTCTAAATAAACCCCTAGGATGTTTCACATATTTTAATTTAGGTACATTGATATTATGGCAATAAGATTTATATATTTATATAGATAGTTAGCTTAAAGAACTATGTTCTCATTTACTAGAACACATGGTTTGATCTTTTTCAAAACATAATAACTATTTTTATTGCCATACTATAATTTTGTTGTCATTAGCTAACACAAGAGTACAATAGTACTAAAATCTTACACTAAGACTTATTTTTATGTGGTCATAAATTTAGATGTTGAGGTGTTTAATTCACCTAAAATCTTTATATTTTGTTATACTTATGTAACAATTATCATTCATATGCCTGAGTCACCTGTTTTGATTTCTGCTATCATGACATTGAAACCAAACTACTGCCAACTATTTTAATAGCTGGCATCCACCTTTCATATTCTATTTTTTCTCTCTTCTCTTCACATAATCCCAGCAACCAGGATCCCCACAGATACTATATGAAGTCACATCCTAAATACTTAGATGGTTATGATTTTTTTTTTGTTTGTGAATAATACAACAGCCCATATTTTCAGGGGGAAAATACAGGTATTTACAAGACATGTTTCTTAATATATTGGAATATTAATTTTGGGATGCGTGACACACCCTTTAAAGACAGTTATTACTTTTTACTTTTTTACTCCATACTGGAATGAGCAGCAGAGCAACCCCTTCTCTTATTTTTAAGTCCATCTCCAAACATTTTCTTTCTTGGTTAGATGTGTCATCATCCTTAACTATCGTGTAATGTGTGCACTGGAGTGGACAGCCTGATATGAGTTTTCATTTGGTTTAGTTGATTCAGAATTTACTGTTATTTTTCCTTCTAAACCCAATTTAAAGTAGTCTTGACACTTTGTACAATTGTTCACAGACTTACCAGTTTTTTGGATAGTGCAATCATCTGAATCTTTTTTTAAAACTGGACTTCATTCTAGCACATTACTATCTTCCCCACCTGACTGGCTGCATGTTGCCACCACTGTTTATTGTATTCCCTGGGAAGTGGACTGTGGAACCCTAGCAGTGTGATGTTCTACCTATGGTCTACTGATATAAAGTATACAATTTCTTAACATCTTGCAGCTATGAGCCTTTGATAATTCTTAGAATAAAAGACACTGTGAACTTAGTACAACCAGAGACAATGTTTACTTCCAGTTTATGTTTATGGGAACCTATTTTATTTTCCTTATATAATTAACAAAATTGAAACAGAACTCTGTGACACAATGTAAAATATGTGCTTTACAAGTCTACAGTTACTAGATTTCTACTTGTAAACATAATTCTGTGTTTTGCTTGTTATTCCTCATACCACTGACCTCAATCTGTGGCCAAAAGTAAAGAGACATTCTTAAAAAGTCATTAATCAAAAATAATGGATTTGTAATAAGGAAAGTAGAAAAATTATCCTACTACATTATAGCTTTAATTCATGTTTTACTTGTGGTTGTGACCTAATTTTCTTCCTTTTTTTCCTCAAATTCCTTAAACATGTATATACCTTCTGCTTTTACTTCCTATCCTTAGAAGCATGTATTTGATTCTCTCTATATATATCTTTCTCTTAAGGTTTGAAAATTCACTCTTTCAATCATTTTTTTTTTTTAGGTTTTCTCTATTTCTGGTCTTTCTGTGGAATTTGGGTTATAGGCAAATTGTTGTATTGGTTAATAGCGTGGATGCTAAGGTGAAAGTAAATGGGTTTATTTTTATTTTTTATTTTAGTATTTATTTGACAGGTGATATTGTGGTTTCATTATGTATCACATGATGTTTTGAAGTACATATACATTCCAGAATGGTTAAATCTAGCTAATTAATGAATACATTGCCTCATATAGTTATCATTTGTTTTTTTGGTGAAAGCACATAACATCCACACTTTTTAAATTTTCCAGAACACAATATGTCATCATTAACTATAGTCACCTTGCTGTACAATAGATCTCTTGAAATAATATTTCTTCTAACATTAATTATGCATCCTTTGATAAACAT
The DNA here is from genome assembly GCF_000001405.40 of Homo sapiens. Lineage (NCBI taxonomy): Eukaryota > Metazoa > Chordata > Mammalia > Primates > Hominidae > Homo > Homo sapiens. The sequence goes on from NC_000004.12 coordinate 131,199,664, forward strand.
CTCCCATGCACTACTCCCTCCTAATTTCCCCAGCTTCTGGCAACAATCATTGACTCTCTCTCTCTTTTTTTTTCTTTGACACAAGGTCTCACTCTGTTGCCCAGGCTGGAGTGCAGTGGTGCAATCATGGCTCACTGAAGCCTCATACTCCTGGGTTCAAGCAATCCTCCCACATCAGTCTCCCAAGTTGCTGGGACTACAGGTGCATGTCACCATGCCTAGACCCTTTTATAGAGACAGAGTCTAGCTTGGTTGCCCAGGTTAGTCTCAAACTCCTGAGCTCAAGCAATACTCTCACCTTGTTCTCTCAAAATATTAAGATTACAGACATTAAGCCACTGCTCCTGGCTCTAAGTCGTTGAGACCAATTTTTTAATATTCCACGTATAAATGAGATCATGGAATAGTTGTCTTTCTGTGCCTGGCTTATTTTACTTAACATTACATCCTCCAGGTTCATTCATGGTATTGAAAATGGCAGGATTTCATTTATTTTAAGGATGAATAATATTCCATTAGGTGTATATACCATATTTTCTCTATCCATTAATCCATCAAGGGACATTTAGGTTGATTTCACATGCTATTGGCTTTTGTGAATGGTGCTATGATAAATGTAGGGGGTGCAGGTATGCCTTTGACATACAGGTTTCAATTCCTTTAGATATATACCCAGAAATGGGATTGCTGGATCATGTGATAGTTCTATTTTTTTTTTTTTAGATGGAGTCTCACTCTGTTGTCCAGGCTGGAGTGCAGTGGTGCAATCTCAGCTCACTGAAACCTCTGCCTCCTGGGTTCAAGTGATTCTCCTGCCCCAGCCTCCCGAGTAGCTGGGACTACAGGCGCACACCACCACGCCTAGCTAAATTTTGTATTTTTTAGTAGAGATGAGGTTTCACCATATTGGCCAGGCTGATCTCAAACTCCTGACCTTGTGATACGCCTGCCTCGGCCTCCCAAAGTGCAGGTGTGAGCCAACACGCCAGGCCAATAATTCTATTTTTAATTTTTAATTTTAATTTTCTGAGGAATCTTCTTATTTTCCATAATGGCTGTACTAATTTACATTCTCACCAACAGTGTGCAAGGATTCTCTTTCTCTGCATCGTTATAAACACTTGTCATCTTTTGTCTTTTTGGTAATGGCCATTTTACCTGGGGTAAGGTGATATCTCATTGTGGTTTTGGTTTGTATTTCCCTGATGGATTAGTGATGCTAAACATTTTTTTAATATACCTCTTGGCCATTTGTATATCTTACTTAAAGAAATATCATTTCAGGTATTTTGCACATTGTAAAATCAGGTTATTTGTTTTTGCTATTGAGTTGTTTGTGTTCCTTATATATTTTGGATATTAACCACATGTCAGATGTATAGTTTTCAAGTTTTTGGGAGGTAAGCTAAATAATCATTCTACATCTCAGTTTCCTAAGTGTTAGATGAGGATTATAATACATATAACACAGTGTTTTCTGTAAAGATCATATTTAATGCAATTAAATGCGTAAATGTGTAACAGTATTAATCGTCATATAGCATGTGCTCTAAAACTACTAACATTATTGCATATGACTTCTTCTGAATTCTATAACCTCTCTTTATTCATCTCTGTAGTGGTTCCCACAAACAATTTTGCTTCTCAGGGGACAGGTTGCAACGTCTGGAGACATTTTTATCACAGCTTGGAGGAGGTGTGCTAAATCTGTCATTTAGTAGATAGAGGTCAAAGATACTGCTGTGAAATATCCTACAGTAGATAGAGGTCAAAGATACTGCTGTGAAATATCCTACAGTAGATAGAGGTCAAAGATACTGCTGTGAAATATCCTACAGTAGATAGAGGTCAAAGATACTGCTGTGAAATATCCTACAGTAGATAGAGGTCAAAGATACTGCTGTGAAATATCCTACAGTAGATAGAGGTCAAAGATACTGCTGTGAAATATCCTACAGTAGATAGAGGTCAAAGATACTGCTGTGAAATATCCTACAGTAGATAGAGGTCAAAGATACTGCTGTGAAATATCCTACAGTAGATAGAGGTCAAAGATACTGCTGTGAAATATCCTACAGTAGATAGAGGTCAAAGATACTGCTGTGAAATATCCTACAGTAGATAGAGGTCAAAGATACTGCTGTGAAATATCCTACAGTAGATAGAGGTCAAAGATACTGCTGTGAAATATCCTACAGTAGATAGAGGTCAAAGATACTGCTGTGAAATATCCTACAGTAGATAGAGGTCAAAGATACTGCTGTGAAATATCCTACAGTAGATAGAGGTCAAAGATACTGCTGTGAAATATCATACAGTAGATAGAGGTCAAAGATACTGCTGTGAAATATCATACAGTAGATAGAGGTCAAAGATACTGCTGTGAAATATCCTACAGTAGATAGAGGTCAAAGATACTGCTGTGAAATATCATACAGTAGATAGAGGTCAAAGATACTGCTGTGAAATATCATACAGTAGATAGAGGTCAAAGATACTGCTGTGAAATATCCTACAGTAGATAGAGGTCAAAGATACTGCTGTGAAATATCATACAGTAGATAGAGGTCAAAGATACTGCTGTGAAATATCATACAGTAGATAGAGGTCAAAGATACTGCTGTGAAATATCATACTGTACATAGGATGGTTTCAAAAAAACTTATCTAGCCTAAAATGTTAATAGTGCCAAGATGAAAATACTGTGGTCTAGTTCAATATATAAAATTGAATTAATACGAATGGCAAAAAAGCGTTACAGAGAGATTGGCTCATAAAATTAGTAGAATTATCTAAGGTGCTTATCTGGTTTAAAAACAATCAATATGATATAAGAAAATGGTCCCTTGTCAAGAAAAGTGGGTAAAAATAATCTTAGTTGATATACTTCCCCACAGGTCATTGGAGCACAAACTAAACTTAGGGAAAGGTATACTATGGCTTAATAAGTGCTAAAGGGGCTTCCTCCTGATGTAATGAGTACCTTATTCCTGGGCGAGTTTTCAATTCACCTTTCAAATAAGGTAAGAAATATTATTTGAATAGACTTGAGAAAATAGTTTTAGGGAAATGAAATATAATTACTTATGTTTGGTTGCATTGAGTGTTACTGAGTGAGTTAAAATACATATCAAGTGAGAATTCTATTTACTGGGAATTTCACAATCAAAGCAAGAAAATTAATTGACCAGTATCCTGCAATGATGATAAGAAATGACTTTTAAGTCATTGTCATGGGTGGAGGGGAGTTAACCATTATTGCATATAAGAGGAAAGATGGTATCTGATTGATGCTTTTGAGATATGAGAGAGCTGGAATAATTGTTAAAAGCAAAATCAAAGGGAGCATATTAGAGGAAAGGAATGATGACTGTTTTACTGCTTGAAAAATGTAATAATGCCTCTTCTTCTGAGGCAGGGAGGAATGGTATAACAAAATATGCTGTGTTTTCAAGGAGGAAGAGAGTTAATCAAGTTTCAGTAAAGTCAAGAAGTTTATGAAATTGTGAACACTATATTGAAAGTGCAGTATAACAAAGGCAAACAGAAATATTAGGAACAAGAAAAAAATGTTTTTCAGAAAAGAAAGGATAGTGCCATCTGCACAGGCACAGATTGGATGGTTGTAAAATGAGTGCTTCTTTTATTCTAAGGTTTATTATGTGATCTATTTAGACCCCCAACATTGAAAAATGAAATAGCAGCTGTTGCTCACAAATTACAAACATAATAGTCAACCATGTTTGGCAGCCCTGCAATGAGAAGCAACATCCCCAAAGCTCTGAAACTGGAAACACAACAAGAAGTAAAGAATGGTACCTAAATAGATCATATGTTTCACAGAATCCCTGCTGTGCTTTTGCTTTTACCTTGTTTATGGGCTCTAATTTGTTTCAAAGTGGAAAGAAAATTGTTAACAAAAATATCAACAAGGCATATTGTTTTATTATGCTTAAGATGTTCTTTTATTTAGAATTACAATTTAAGAGCAAAATTAAATAGGACTTCAAGATTCTGATTGTAAAATTAAAGCACTCATTGCCCCCACTGCTGACTGCTCATGGCTGAGTCCCTTCTCATGCATTGCTTTTGGCCACGCACTTTTAAATCCTTTCTTGTGACTATCATTCATCCACTGACTGGTCAATAGAATAATGCAAAAGGTATTTCCCTTGACTCAATTCTAGGCAACTTTAAAAACCCATACCAGCTCCAGAGATCCCCATTGGATAGACTGAGTCTTTATTAACAACTTCATTGTTGTTCAACTCTTCATTACGCCCAATCCAGGATTTCTTTAATCTTTTACAAATGTTGTTCTCAGGCACACTCACTAATAAACTTCCTGTAAGTGAGTCTCTCTCTCAGAACCTGATTATAGAAGAACTGGGCCAAAAATTACATTCTATTTTTTAAAACTGGGAAGAATCAATGAGAGAATGTAAAGGACTACGAAAAAACAAAAACGAAAAAAATCCAGTAACTTGGTATTTGTTAACTGCACTATGTTAGACTTAATGCATGCACCTTTTTCCATGTTTCTTTAATATTTTTGTTATTAGTTTTTCTAAGGCATAATCACATTTTATACATGAAATGATAACATAATAGTAACATTTGGGCTGGACACAGTGGCTCACACCTGTAATCCCAGCTATGGGAGGCCGAGGCGGGTGGATCACCTGAGGTCAGGTGTTGAAGAGCAGCCAGGCGACATGATAAAATCCTGTCTCTACTAAAAATAATAATAATAATAATAAAATTAGCTGGGTGTGGTGACGGGCGCCTGTAATCCCAGTTACTCGGGAGGCTGAGGCAGGAGAATTGCTTGAATGTGGAAGGCAGAGGTTGCAGTGAGCCGAGATCCCACCTCTGTACTCCAGCCTGGGCAACAAGAGTGAAACTCCATCTCAAAAAAATAAATAACATAATAATAATAATAATAATAACGTTTGGCATTTTTCACCAGGAGTCCATAGGAAGATGTTGTCATTTATCCAGTGGTGCCATATTCAAATACGCAAGCAAATTATTTAAGAGGAAATGAATATAGATATTTTACTTTTTAGATGGCAAACCTAAACCTGTACATGCCAATAAAAATGTGACAAAGGGTAACAGAGATTGTTTAATTTGACTCTAAACTGCTCTACCTAGCTAGTATGTTTCTGTTGATATATAAACAAAGATCTGTACCATGGACATTTTCCAAAAGCCTAATAATTCAGTATAATTTTAAAATCTCTTTGTATTGGGGGTTTAGGAAAAACATGGCAATGAAAGTGTGTCAGTTTTTACATTTTCACTCACATCCCTTCATTATATTTTTAATTTCCCACACCTCTAATTACTTGAATATCTTTAATATCCTGTTGGTATGGCACCTAGGCTTATTTTGAAATGTAAGGATGAAAAGGTCACATTGAGCCATTTGGAGATGAAAATGACATGAGCATTACGGTGACATGATTCAGACAATCATTCAGAATTTAGAGAAATCTGTTACTCACATTATAGCAGAACTGTCTTTCTTTCTCCACTAAATAAAATAAAATAAACATTGAATTCCTATTGCACTTTTTCATATGTTTTTTATTACACTATGCAATATAGTTTTATTTATGCATATTCTCTCAAGTGCTCCTTGACATCAACAATATTTTATATGCACACCATATATTACGTTTTAGTCAGTAAGTGCATATTTTATTGAATTATTATTTTAATTCATAGCTACTTAAATTATTTTTGCATTAAATCTAAAATTAAAAAATTATAATAGTAAATAATAAATAATTATTAAAATCGTGAAATAGGAGCTAATACAACACTATAATCCAATTTACAGATCAAATAATATTTTGCCAAGTATAATTAATAAGTACCTCTTGTAGGACATTTGGCAATTCTCTAAATATTTTATTTCTCGTCTAGCTTTCACTCACTAGTCTCACCTACTAATTCTTAATTAAAATAATTATTTTTATTATTGCAGTATGGTGATTGTTCTTGATCCCTCAATGTCTTCCACATTTATTCACTAAAATTATACTCTATGGAAGAGATGGTTCTCCTTCTCCTGTATATGTTTATTTGCTCAAACCAGTAGGAATTTATGAACTTTTATTTTATTCTATGGGCTAACTTACTTTCTGACATAATAAATGACCAAGTTATTCTGTTATTTCCTTTTCTAATCTTGAAATAAGATAGCAAATAATGAGATTGTTTATACAGAGGAGCTGGAAATAAAATGAAAAGAAAGTGTGTGGTAATGGGATGGAAGAATTAAAGAGGGACACTTCTTTGAATAAACTTTCCCTATAGTTCTACTTTCTGAAACCATGTTAACTTTTTGCATATTCACAAACAAATCAACAAAGGATACTAACAGAAGCAATGAATTTCTGTGTATCTCAAATAACTAAGATAAGCACCTTAAATGAAAAACAAAATAAAAAGCCAACAGAAAACCTAATAAATCTGGAGTCCAGGATTTTGACTACATACAATCAAGCCAAAGACAAAAGTAAAAAATAAAGAACTATAAACAAACATTGAATCCAAGATAATGGTATTGTGTTTCAAAGTGGTATGGATTTGCAGTACAGAAATTATTTCAGATATATTCTAGACTGAGCATATACCTAAATATAATATGAATAGTTAGTGCCAGTTTTCTTACTATCAGAGAATAGAGTTACAAATATTGAAAAGGGGAAATAAAGAATAAACCCTGAGTGTTGGATTGGACTGGCAGTATCACAATAAACATGTTTTTAGTGTGTAGGCATATATATATATATGAAGAGACACAGTTAGAGACATAAAAATACCTACTCTTTTATTGTGTGTATATATGTATAAAATATCAGTATAAAATAAATATGTAGTTTATAAAAGATATGTCTAAAGCAGATAGATAAACATCATCTGTATCTGTGAGAAAGGCAAGAAGAAAGGAGTGAGATTCTAGTATCAATGAATAGACTTAGGATCCAAATAATGTTTTCTAAATACTGTTTTATACCTAAATGTATGTTACATTGCTTCTTGTAGCTAATTTCATTAATTCCCATTTTAATAATTACCATTTCTTCTTAAACCTGAGCTTACGTAACAGTAAAATATTTGGACATTTGAGGCATCTCCATTTAAACATTTTCCTGACATATCTTTTGTTTTTTTATACTCTATATCTTCTCCACTTTCCTCCATTTCAATAAAATGCCCCCCTTTTCTATTTCTCTTTCTCTTTTGGTTTTGTTTTGTTTTTTACTAGCAGTCTTTAGGCTGACACAAATCCTTTAATGAATTGCCCAGTATACAATTGTCTCCATCAAAACTACTACTGCCCTAAACAAAGCCAATATTAATTATATCTAAAGTACAACAGTAGCTTACTAATTTATTTCCCCACTTCCATTCTTGCTGATTTCCATGTCATTTTGCACAAGACAGCCGGTTGTGATATTTTGGAATAAAGTTTATATTCCAAAACATTAAATCTTTCCATGGTTCCCATTGCCCATAGATTAAAATATGAAATTTGTGACTGGCAGAATAGTATATTGGTTATGAAAACTTAATAGCTAGAATAACAGCATTGAAATGTATCTTTGTCATTCCCCCCATGCACGGCCTTAAACGCGTCACTCAACTGCTTAATCCCTAAATTTTCTCTTTTGTTAAGAGAAGATACCTGTGCTTTAGGAGTATTTGCACACTGAAGAATTAACACATGTGATGAGTTTAGATTGATGCTTGGCAAATTTTAATGATAACCGATATTGTTAGAGTAGGTACTTAGGCAGACATCAGCAGGGAAGGAGAGGGCCCTCTGCCCCAACCAGGAATGTGTGGTGACCATAAGGTTATGGTCAGACAGTTGCTACACTGTCTTTCTAAAATAAAAATTGGTTGCTGCCAGCACCAGGGCAGGACAGTTTCCCAATAGATAGAGAACATCTGAAGCTAATGATCAGCAGCTTCCTGATAAGATCTCAGGAGTTAGCCGAGTGGGCTCCAGAGTGCACTAAGAGGTCAAACGGTGTTTAACAGGTGTATGACCTTTCTCTTGGAACACTTGAGCGGTAAGGGAAAACGTGTCAAATGAGCACGTGCACAACTTCAGTAAACACACTGTGCATGCGGGCAACCCAAGATAAAGCAAACTCTGGAACCATACCAACCCCAAGTCAAGGGTCAGACAGCACACTTGGATCTCTCAAGTTGTCTGCTTGGCCCTTTTCCAGGTGTACTTAACTTCCTTTCATTCCTGCTCTAAAACATTTTAATAAACCCTTACTCTTCTTTGTGCTGCTTGGATGAATTCTTTCCTTCAAGGAGGCAAGAATTAACTTTGCTGCAGACCTGTACAAATTCACTGCTGCTAACATTATAACAATGGCGTGCATATCATAAATATTTAATATATGTTTGCAGCATGAACAAAATGTCTTCAACCTCAAAGTGTGTTTAACTTCAATTACTTTAGCTTCTTTCAAAAATTTGGACCAATAATGATATTTTACAACTTAAGTTCTTCTCACAAACCCTCCTCTTCCTGAAATACTCTCTTTACTACCCAGTGCCTACCTGATTTCTAGTTTTCAATTTTGTAAATGACATTTTCTCAGGCAGGCTATTTTTGTCTCCTTAATCTAAATATGAATTTCTATGTATAGTCATTTTTGTTTAAATATATTTTGCTTAGGGAGAACTGTCATAATATGTGATATTATATTACATATAAAATATTGTTAGTGTATTTCATAGAATTATATATATATCAATAGACTTGAAAATTAAAAAAATACAATAGCTTTTTTCCACAAAACCTACTTTGTGAAACTTAGCACATTATTAACATTCGATATATTTTGGCAGCATGGACAGAACAATAATCGAATGTATAAATTTGAAAAGGAATTACCTGGATAATATCCTGCAGAGTGTTTTCCAACATGGTTCCATTCTCCCCGTCACTTTCAGGTACACCAATCAGACGTAGATTTGGTCTTTTCTCATAGTCCCATATTTCTTGGAGGCTTTGCTCACTTCTTTTTATTCTTTTTTCTCTAAACTTCCCTTCTCGCTTCATTTCATTCACTTCATCTTCCATCGCTGATACCCTTTCTTCCAGTTGATCGCATCGGCTCCTGAGGCTTCTGCATTCTTCACGTAGTTCTCGAGCCTTGGTTTTTAGCTCCATCAGCTCCTTTAGGCACTTCTCTGTATTGATTATTCTAGTTATACATTCTTCTAAATTTTTTTCAAAGTTTTCAACTTCTTTGCCTTTGGTTTGAATTTCCTCCAGTAGCTCGGAGTAATTTGATCGCCTGAAGCCTTCTTCTCTCAGCTCGTCAAAGTCATTCTCCCTCCAGGTTTGTTCCATTGCTGGTGAGGAACTGCGTTCCTCTGGAGGAGGAGAGGCGCTCTGCTTTTTAGAGTTTCCAGTTTTTCTGCTCTGTTTTTTCCCCATCTTTGTGGTTTTATCTACTTTTGGTCTTTGATGATGGTGATGTACAGATAGGTTTTTGGTGTGGATGTCCTTTCTGTTTGTTAGTTTTCCTTCTAACAGAGAGGACCCTCAGCTGCAGGTCTGTTGGAGTACCCGGCCATGTGAAGTGTCAGTCTGCCCCTGCTGGGGGGTGCCTCCCAGTTAGGCTGCTCGGGGGTCACGGGTCAGGGACCCACTTGAGGAGGCAGTCTGCCCGTTCTCAGATCTCCAGCTGCCTGCTGGGAGAACCACTGCTTTCTTCAAAGCTGTCAGACAGGGACATTTAAGTCTGCAGAGGTTACTGCTGTCTTTTTGTTTGTCTGTGCCCTGCCCCCAGAGGTGGAGCCTACAGAGGCAGGCAGGCCTCCTTGAGCTGTGGTGGGCTCCACCCAGTTGGAGCTTCCTGGCTGCTTTGTTTACCTAAGCAAGCCTGGGCAATGGCGGGGGCCCCTCCCCCAGCCTCGCTGCCGCCTTGCAGTTTGATCTCAGACTGCTGTGCTAGCAATCAGCGAGACTCCGTGGGCGTAGGACCCTCCGAGCCAGGTGCCGGATATAATCTCCTGGTGCCGCCGTTTTTTAAGGCCCTCGGAAAAGCACAGTATTCGGGTGGGAGTGACCAGGTGATTTTCCAGGTGCCGTCTGTCACCCCTTTCTTTGACTAGGAAAAGGAATGCCCTGATCCCTTGACATGAACAGACACTTCTCAAAAGAAGACATTTATGCAGCCAAAAAACACATGAAAAAATGCTCACCATCACTGGCCATCAGAGAAATGCAAATCAAAACCACAATGAGATATCATCTCACACCAGTTAGAATGACAATCATTAAAAAGTCAGGAAACAACAGGTGCTGGAGAGGATGTGGAGAAATAGGAACACTTTTACACTGTTGGTGGGACTGTAAACTAGTTCAACCATTGTGGAAGTCAGTGTGGTGATTCCTCAGGGATCTAGAACTAGAAATACCATTTGACCCAGCCATCCCATTACTGGGTATATACCCAAAGGACTATAAATCATGCTGCTATAAAGACACATGCACACGTATGTTTATTGCGGCATTATTCACAATAGCAAAGACTTGGAACCAACCCAAATGTCCAACAATGATAGACTGGATTAAGAAAATGTGGCACATATACACCATGGAATACTCTGCAGCCATAAAAAACGATGAGTTCATGTCCTTTGTAGGGACATGGATGAAAATGGATATCATCATTCTCAGTAAACTATCGCAAGAACAAAAAACCAAACACTGCATATTCTCACTCATAGGTGGGAACTGAACAATGAGAACACATGGACACAGGAAGGGGAACATGACATTCTGGGGACTGTTGTGGGGTGGGGGGAGGGGGGAGGGATAGCACTGGGAGATATAACTAAAGCTAGATGACGAGTTAGTGGGTACAGCGCTCCAGCATGGCACGTGTATACATATGCAACTAACCTGCACATTGTGCACATGTACCCTAAAACTTAAAGTATAATAATAATAATAAATAAAAGAAAAGGAATTACCTAGAATCAAGGGGAAAATTATAATTAATTGTAAATGATCACACAAAATATAATAAAATTAGATATTAGATAAGTTAAGCACTTCAATATATAAAGCATGATAAAAATGAAAAAAAACGAAAAGACAAAAACATAGTAGGTATATAAAAGAAGGAAGGTTTGAATTTATGCATCCGAGAGACTACATGGTTAAGACTTGAGGGACTCACAATATACCAGGGAAAACTGATGAAAATGTAAAACCTTGGAAACCTAATATAATGAATTTATTTAAAATCAAGACTAAAGAAATTTCCTAATAGACAGAAAGATAAAATTGTACATATATCTACAATTGTAGGAATAAATAACAATAACAATAATCATATTGGTGATATACTTTTACCTTCATTAGAAGATTCCAGAAGGAAGTAGAGTTTGAAAAACAATAGAGCAAAAAACAATGCTTTTGTTTTCAGACTAAATAGAAAAATTCCAATAATTATGATCTTATAATAATATAATACAATAAAATAAGTGATAGTAGGAAAATATTTTTAAAAACTTACCTTTTATGCTTGAATCAAAATGGTATACAAGCTATACAATGATATATTACCTACATAGAAATCATAAGAACATTTGTAGTCAACAACACACCACTGGGTATTGAATAAAACTGCTGTCATGAAAAAAAATCTAATAAAGAAGTATACATGATCATTTTAATATGTGAGTGTATTTGTGTGTGTATGTGTAATTGTGTTGCAAATTTTAAATAATACATATTATTTATAAATGTTTACAGCACTTATGACTTGGAATTAGGATAAGAGGTAATTTTTTCTTTTCAATTGTATTTCAATCACATTTTATAAGCATTTTTTAAAATAAGCATGTTTCACATTTTTAATCTTAAAAGCATACAACTGTTTTCATTTTTTTAATAAATAGCAAAACAGTGAGGTTCATGCATATTCTTAAAAAGACATTTCCCAAATGAAGTCAATTTGCTTTATCTAGACAACCCTAAAATCAGCTGTCAACAAAACCAAAGATAAAACTTTAAATTATTACGCTTATTTGCATTGAGTCTGATAATAAATATTGTATGTTTACATGGAGAACAAAACAATATTAAAATAAAAATTAATGTCTCTTAATGATATAAAGAGAATAAATTATTCAATGTTGAAAAACCTCTACATTCAAAATATCCACATGGAGCAGAAACCTTAAGTTTTCTTTTTATTATACTCATTAATTTTTTAATTAAAAATAATAAAAAATCCTACAACCACTGAGACAACACTATTTACTATTTTTAGATTATTATAGTCTTGTAAAGATCATTTGCTTTTATAGTATTTTTGGAAAGACTTTTAAATGCAGTATCAAAAAGCCTTGTTTTGAAATATTTACTTCATCATAGCTTTGAAATAAGATGTTTTTACATGACAAAAATCTTTCAATTTGCTATGCAAAAGATTTTCAGATTTTATTCTTCAATATATTTGTATGTGGGTGTGAGTGTGTCATATGAATGTACTTTTAAATATATTTCAAGAATTCTGGTTTTCTATGTAGAAGGACATTTGAAAATTCTTTAGGGTCTTCTGAAGCCCCCCACCCCAGTGTAGCTGACCCATGACCAGTTGAAAATTAGAGAAATTCTACCACGTAACAGACTTAGATCACAAGTGTATTAAACAATAATAAAATGAAAAATGGGTATTTTTCACTTCCAAAACTAAGATTAATCAGTAGTAGGTTTAAGTTATCCCTTCTACTCAGCAGTATCTAAAGTTAGTGAGGTCTCATAATTATTAATTCTAAGAAATCATTCCATTGACAATTCGCCTAATACTTCTGTTAGTATTTCTCTTTAAAATGTTTGAGTTCTTTAATAAGACGTCCTTTGCACTTAGTAATAATTTGACCTGGGGCTTCAGTGACCTATATAGCCTTTTAGGTAGTGGCTTTACTTCAATTATTCTGTGAAAGAATTGGACATCTCTCCAGGTAATCAAAAATGTATAAGCAGACCATACATTGATATATTTCTTAAAAATAAGAATTAGCAGCTTTTACCTACTTCTACAATCTTATCCTCTTTCTAAGGACTGGATTCTTCCAAAGCTGCTAGCAACATCCAGGGAATAAAATAATTTTTGAACATTTCTTTATCCTTATACTCCCTCTTATACATTTATCCAGACCCCTTGGGTATAATGCCATATACTTCAAAATCCATTGCTGAGATTTATTCCCCAGAATTTGCCTCAAAACTTTTGCCACGTTATACCAAATATGAATAGGAAGCTGCATCCTGGCCGAAAGAAATTATTGTTCATGGCGCACATCTGAGCTACTACCGTCAATCAGATTGCCAAATCAACTCTCTAAATCAAAGATCTTGCCAGTATTAAGCTTTACTAATAATTTTAATGATATAAGCAACTAAGTAGCATAGGTAAAGCACAGCCAGACCTGGGATATCCTGTCTGATTCTTTAGGTACTCACTTCTCATATAAGACACATGTTCTCTGTCACAGAGTAAGAGTTACAGATTCTAGATAAGGTTTTGGGCCATCTCATATGGTGATCATCTATGTTAGAAAACCGCCATTTTATAACAAGACTGTTTCAGTGCTTGTGTCACATTTTCCAGAGACCCATGTGTCCTAAACCTACACGTTGTGAACTGTTTCTGTTAGTACTATTAAACCAGGGAAATCCTACTATGAGATGTGCATAGATAAAAACTTTCTAACTAGCTAATATAATTACTGTAGCCTATGTATCTGGTTATTCAATTATAAGCAGGATTAGACTGGGTCAGCTGCTTTCTCTCCCGAGGAGGTATTGCCTTAAAAGTCATGATAAAAGCTGGCCGCGGTGACTCACGCCTGTAATCTCAGCACTTTGGGAGGCCAAGGCAGGCGGATCACGAGGTCAGGAGATCGAGGTTATCCTGGCTAACATGGTGAAGCTCCATCTCTACTAAAAATACAAAAGATTAGCCGGGCATGGTGGCCCCTTTAGTCTCAGCTACTCGGGAGGCTGAGGCAGGAGAATCGCTTGAACCCGGGAAGGGGAGGTTGGAGTGAGCCGAGATGGCGCCACTGCACTCTAGCCTGGGCGACAGAGTGAGAGTCCACCTCAAAAAAAAAAAAACAAAAAACAAAAAACAACATGATAAAAATGGATAACAGCTTTGCTTCTTCACATTTATTCTCCAATGGCTGAGCAAGCATGTCTAGTTTTAGGGTGAAATATTTGCAGCACACTTATTCACACATCTATCTAGCTTTGACCTTCTCCAAAAATCTTTACCAATTAAAAAGGTAATATTTTGGTTTCTATCTAACTGACTCTTTAAGCTGTCTTTATAATATTTTTTCACAACTTTTCCAGTTCTGTATATCTAAAAGAAAACTCATTTTCACCTCAAAGAAAATCCTTCCACTCTTATCTGTTTGAACTGTCTATTGCTTTTCATTATAATTGTTTTCTAGCCACTCAAGTTTGAAATTATACAATTATGAATTATACTTTATGAATATATAGAATCAAATTATAATAAACCTCTGAGTTTAACTGGCAAGTATTTTCAAAGATTTTCATAATTTCAAAAGGCTTCACTATTTTTACTTCTCTTCTACTCTCTTTGTCTGGAGGATGTTATTCCCTGACAATGCAGTTCAACTGTTACATATTATTGACATGTTCATATGATGGTTGATTGTTTTTGAATATAAATTAATTTTTATTCATATTTGCTATATGTGGGTCAATTTATTTGCTTTTCTAGGAAGTATAGACATTTAGTATACAGTGTGCTGAAATTAATGTCATTCGGCTTTCAGGCTTCATTTGGTACCATAGCTAATTTAATGTTTTATCTTCTTCCAGTGAGAATCTGAGGTTTTCTAATTTCAGTTAGATACTATTGTAATTGAAATACATAACTCATATTTAAATGTTAATAAGGTGAAGTTTCTAGTGTTCATATTTTAACAGTTTTTTTTTGTTTTTCTTTTTGAGACAGAGTCCTGCTCTGTCACCAAGGTTGAAGTGAAGTGATCCAACTGTGGCTCACTGCAGCCTCGAACTCCGGAGCTCAAGGGAGGCTCCCACCTCAGCTTCCTAAGCAGCTAGGACATAGGTGTGCACTACCACACCTGGCTAATTTTATATATTTATATATATATATTTATATTATATTATATAATTTAGGTATATATAAATATATTTTATATAATGTGTTATATATGATATATAAATATACACATATATTTACACATAAATACACACATGTACACACATGTCTATACACATATGTGTTTATACATGTGTATATACACATATGTATCAACATATGTGTATATACACACATATATAAATATATATGCACACACATATGTGTATATATACATGTGTGTATATATTTTTAATATTAGAATACATTCAAATATTAAAAATTATAATTTTCTGCAATTTAATTTTATTTGCCCTAAATGTTGTGGCCTATGCTATGCTTACTGGCTAACAACTAATTTCAAAATTCTTAAATAATAGAGTATTTCCGTAAAAAGAGTATTGCCCCATAAAAATGTCCAAGTCGACATCCAAAATACACATTTTTTGTTATGTTAACATTTGTTTGGTACCTATTTTGTTAAATTAGGTTAAACAAAACAGACAAGAACTTCAATTAAGAGAGATTTCCTCTGTAACCATCACTCCTAACAGATATTATACACCTGCAGTGTATCTGTAAAAATATCGTGTAAGAGAAAGTTGTTGAATAGACTAGGCCTACTGAGGCCAAATCAAAGAAGGGCACTTCTAAAGAAACATAATGAATGCCATCTTATGGTTTGTCTTGCCTAAGTTTCTGATAGTTATTTTTTAACTACAGATTGCTTATTGATTACCTTTTTAAATAATTCCCCAATAATTATTCTAGACTTTATTTTTAAAAGCAGTTTTAGGTTCATAACAATATTGAACACAAGGTACAGGGATTTTCCCCAAACCGTTTGTCCTTACATATGCATAGCCTCCCCTCTATGACAGATTTAAAAAGCCTCTTTTTTTCTTAATGTTATTGTAAATTCATATACTCAGGAATTAGAAACTCAGTGTATTAGAGTGTTTTTGTTTGTTTGTATTTTTAAAATCTTAGTCCTTTAGTGATGTCCTGGACTGAAAGAATTTATTTGCAAGACATCTCTTGCAGAATGTCATATTTTTGAAATTAGAGAACATAATTAAATAATAAAGAAAGTAAATGTTTATGATTTTTTCATTAGCAACAATATTAAAATAATAATTTATTCTAGAAAATAATTATATTGGCAACTGGCAATATGTACCAAGAAAATATCAATAATCTATGCTTTTTAACAGTTATTTAGCATTTAAATTGTATTCCGTGTAAGAAACATTCAATTTTATATAAGCTTTTATAGTTCTAAATACTAAAATTGCTGGCCACATGTAACACAATTGATGTTTCTTAAAATAAAATGTGCACTTTCTATTACTGATAGAATAAACAAAATTATTTTTGAGTAATTGTCTCTTTAATCAAATTTTATTGAAGGAATACTATTTCAGGAACTTTATTTAGTTTTGCAAGTATACTAATAATATTGAAACTAAATCCTTGTCATAAAAATTATAGTCCAGGGTGAAGCAAGACCTTAAAACAAAAAAAAAACACATAATTTTTAAAAATTAATTTTGTATTATACTTTAAGTTCTGAGATACTGTACAGAACATACAGGCTTGTTACATAGGTATACACGTACCATGGTGGTTTGCTGCACCCATCAACCCATCATCTACATTAGGTATTTCTCCTAATGCTATCCCTCCCCTTGTCCCCCAACCCCAACAGGCCCTTGTGTGTGATGTTCCCTTCCCTGTGCCCATGTGTTCTCATTGTTCAACTCCCACTTATGAATGTGAACATGTGGTGTTTGTTTTTCTGTTCATGTGTTAGTTTGCTAAGAATGATGTTTTCCAGCTTCATCCATGTCCTTGCAAAGGACATGAATTCATTGTTTATCATGGCTGCATAGTATTCCATGGTGTATATGTGTCACATTTTGTTTATCCAGGCTAACATTGAGGGGCATTTGGGCTGGTTTCAAGTCTTTGCTATTGTGAATAGTGCTGCAATAAACATACGTGTGCATGTGTCTTTGTAGTAGAATTATTTATAATCCTTTGGGTATATACCCAGCAATGGGATTGCTGGATCAAATGGCATTTCTGGTTCTAGATCCTTGAGGAATGGCTACACTGTCTTCCACAATGGTTGAACTAATTTACACTCCCACCAACAGTGGAAAAGCATTCCTATTTCTCCACATCGTCTCCAGCATCTGTTGTTTCCTGACTTTATAATGATCGCCATTCTAACTGGCAAAAGACAGTATCTCATTGTGGTTTTCACTTGCATTTCTCTAACGACTAGTGATGATGAGCTTTTTTTCAAATGTTTTTTGTCCGTGTAAATGTTTTCTTTTGAGAATTGTCTGTTTATATCCTTTGCCCACTTTTTGATGGTTTTTTTTCTTTGTAAATTTGTTTAAGTTTCTTATAGATTCTGGATATTAGCCCTTTGTTGGATGGATAGATTGCAAAAATTTTCTCCCATTCTGTAGGTTGCCTGTTAACTCTGATGACAGTTTCTTTTGCTGTGTAGTAGCTAATTAGTTTAAATTGATCCCATTTGTCAATTTTGGCCTTTGTTGGCATTGCTTTTCATGTTTTAGTCATGAAGTCTTTGCCCATGCCTGTGTCCTGAATGGTATGGCCTTGGTTTTCTCCTAGGGTTTTTATGGTTTTAGGTCTTACATTTAAATCTCTAATTCATCTTGCGTTGATTTTTGTATAAGGTGTAAGGAACAGGTCCAGTTTGCGTTTTCTGCATATGGCTAGCCAATTTTCTCAACACCATTTGTTAAATAGGGAATCCTTTCCTCATTGCTTGTTTTAGTCAGGTTCATCAAAGATCAGATGGTTCTAGATGTGTGGTGTTATTTCTGAGGTCTCTGTTCTGTTCCATTGATCTATATATCTGTTTTGGTATAGATCTGTATTGTTCTATATATCTGCCATGCTTTTTTGGTTGCTGTAGCCTTGTACTATAGTTGAAGTCAGGTAGCGTGATGCCCCCAGCTTTGTTCTGTTGGCTTAGTATTGTCTTGCCCATACAGTCTCTTTTTTGGTTCCATATTAAATTTAAAGTAGTTTTTTTTTTTTTTCTAATTCTATGAAGAAAGTAAATGGTAGTTCAATGGGGATAGCATTGAGTCTGTAAATTACTTTGGGCAGTATGACCATTTTCACCATATTGATTGTCCCTATCCATGAGCATGGAATGTTTTTCCATTTGTTTATGTCTTCTCTTATTTCCTTGAGCAGTGGTTTGTAGTTCTCCTTGAAGAGGTCCTTCACATCCCTTGTAAGTTGTATTCCCAGGTATTTTATTCTCTTTGAAGCAATTGTGAATGGGATTTTGCTCATGATTTCGCTCTCTGTTTGCCTATCATTGGTGTATAGGAACACTTGTGATTTTTGCACATTGATTTTGTATCCTGAGACTTTGCTGAAGTTGCTTATCAGCTTATGGAGTTTTTGGGCTGAGCCGATGGGGTATTCTTAATATACAATCATGTCATCTGCAAACAGAGATAATTTGACTTCCCTTCTTTCTATTTGAATATGGTTTATTTTTTTCTCTTGCCTGATTACCCTGGCCAGAACTTCCAATACTACGTTGAATAGGAGTGGTGAGAGAGGGCATTCTTGTCTTGTGCAGGTTTTCAAAGGGAATGCTTCCAGCTTTTACCCATTCAGTATGATATTGGCTGTGGGTTTGTTATAAATAGCTCTTATCATTTTGAGATATGTTCCATCAATACCTAGTTTGTTGAGAGATTTTAGTATGAAGGGTGTTGAATTTTATTGAAGGCCTTTTCTGCATCTATTGAGATAATCATGTGGTTTTTGTCATTGGTTCTGTTTATGTGATGGATTATGTTTATTGATTTGCATATGTTGAAACAGCTTTGCATCCCAGGGATGAAGCCGACTTGATCATGGTGGAGAAGCTTTTTAATATGCTGCTGGACTCCTTTTGGCAGTATTTTATTGAGGATCTTTGCATTGATGTTCATCAGAGATGTTGGCCTGAAATTTTCTTTTTTTGTTGTATCTCTGCCAGGTTTTTGTATCAGGATCATGCTGACCTCATAGAATTTGTTAGGGAGGAGTCCCTCTTTTTCTGTTTTTAAGAATAGCTTTAGTAGGAATGGTACCAGATCCTCTTTGTCTCTCTGGTAGAATTTGGCTGTGAATCTGTTTGGTCCTGGACTTTTTTTTGGTTGGTAGGCTATTAATTACGGCCTTAATTTAAGGACTTATTATTGGTGTGTTCAGGGATTCAAGTTTTTCCTGGTTTAGTCTTGGGAGGGTGTATGCTTCCAGGAATTTATCCATTTCTTCTAGATTTTCTCGTTTATTTGCATATAGGTGTTTATAGTATTCTCTGATGGTAGTTTGTATTTCTGTGGGATCAGTGTTGATATCCAACTTTATCATTTTTTATTGTCTATTTGATTCTTCTGTCTTTTCTTCTTCTTAGTCTGGCTAGTAGTCTATCTATTTTGTTAATCTTTAAAAAAAAACAACTCCTGGATTTTGATTTTTTGAAGGGTTTTTTGTGTGTCTATCTCCTTCAGTTCTGCCCTAATCTTAGTTATTTCTTGTCTTCTTTTAGCTTTTGAATTTGTTTGCTCTTACTCCTCTAGTTCTCTTAAATGTGATGTTAGGGTGTTGATTTTAGATCTTTCCTGCTTTCTCCTGTGGTCATTTAGTGCTATAAATTTCCCTCTACACACTGCTGTAGCTGTGTTCCAGAAATTCTGGTACGTTGTGTCTTTGTTCTCATTGGTTTCAAAGAACTTATTTATTTCTGCCTTAATTTCGTTATTAACCAGTAGTCATTCAGGAGCAAGTTGTTCAGTTTCCATGTAGTTGTGTGATTTTGAGTGAGTTTCTTAATCCTGAGTTCCAATTTTGTTGCCCTGTGGTCTTAGAAACTGTTTGTTATGATTTCTGTTCTTTTGCATTTGCTGAAGAGTGTTTTACTTCCAATTATGTTTTTGATTTTAGAACAAGTGTGATGTGGTGCTGAGAACAATGTATATTCTGTTGATTTGGGGTGGAGAGTTCTGTAGATGTCTATTACGTTCACTTGGTCCAGAGCTGAGTTCAAGTCTTGAATATTCTTGTTAATTTTCTGTCTTGTTGTTCTGTCTAATATCGACAGTGGGGTGTTAAAATCTCCCACTATTATTGTGTGGGAGTCTAAGTCTCTTTGTAGGTTTCTAAAAACTTGCTTTCTGAATCTGGGTGCTCCTGTATTGGGTGCATATATATTTAGGATAGTTAGCTCTTCTTGTTGCATTGATTTCTTTGCCATATATAATGCCCTTCTTTGTCTTTTTTGATCTTTGTTGGCTTAAGGTCTGTTTTATCAGAGACTAGGATTGCAACTCCTGCTTTTTTTTTTTTTTTTTTTTTTTTTTTTTTTGCTTTCCATTTGCTTGGTAAATATTCTTCCATCCCTTTAATTTGAGGCTATGTGTGTCTTTGCACATGAGATGGGTCTCCTGAATACAGCACACTGATGGGTCTTAACTCTTTATCCAATTTGCCAGTCTGTGCCTTTTAATTGGGGCATTTAGCCCATTTAAATTTAAGGTTAATATTGTCTTGTTTGAATTTGATCCTGTCATTATGATGCTAGCTGATTGTTTTTTCCATTTGTTGATGCAGTTTCTTCACAGTGTCAATGGTCTTTACATTTTTATTTGTGTTTGCAGTGGCTGGTACCAGTTTTTCCTTACCATATTTAGGGTTTTATATTTTTCTTTTTTTTTGACATGGAGTCTTGCTCTGTCACCCAGACTGGAGTACAGTGGCACAATCTTGGCTCACTGCAACCTCTGCCTCCTTGGTTCAAGCAATTCTCCTGCCTCAGCCTCCTGAGTAGCTGTGACTACAGGTGCATGCCACCACCTCAGGCTAATTTTTGTTTTTTTATTTTTAGTAATGATGGGGTTTCACCATGTTAGCCAGGATGGTCTTGATCTCCTGACCTCATGATCTGCCTGCCTCAGCCTCCAAAAGTGCTGGGATTACAGGTGTGAGCCACCTCACTCAGCCTAGATTCTTGATATTAGTCCTTTGTCAGTAAAATGGTGTACGAATATTTTCTCTCATTCTATAGGTTGTCTGTTTACTCCATCGATAGTTTCTTTTGCTGTGCAGGTTGTTTAGTTTAATTAGGTCCCACTTGTCAATTTCTGGTTTTGTTGAAATTGCTTTTGAGGACTTGGTTAGAAATTTATTGCCAAGGCTGATGTTCAGAAGGGTGTTTCTTGGGTTTTCTATCAGGGTTTTTATAGTTTGAGATCTCATATTTAAGTATTTATTTTATCTTGGGTTAATTTTTATATATGGTGATAGGTCCAGTTTCTTTCTTTGGCATATGGCTAGCCTGTTATCCCAGCATCAATTATTGAATAGGGAGTCCTTTCTCCATTGCTTATTTTTGTCAACTTTGTCAAATATCACTTGATTGTAGGCATGCTGCTTTATTTCTGGGTTCTCTATTCTGTTCCTTTGGTCTATGTGCTTATTTTTGTACCATTATCTAGCTGTTTTACTTATTGTAGCCTTGCAGTATAGTTTGAAGTTGAGTAATGTGATGTGGTATAGTTTGAATTTGGGTAATGTATGGTTTTGTTCTTTTTGCTTAGAGTTGCTTTGGCTATTTGGGCTCTTGTTTTGGTTTCGTGTCAATTTTAGAATAGTTTTTTTTCCTAATTCTGTTAAAATGATGTTGGTAATTTGATAGGAATGAAACTGAATCTGTAGATTGCTTTGGACCATAGGTCTATTTTAACAATGTTGGATCTCCCAATCCATGAACATGGAATGTTTTTCCATTTGTGTCATCTATGATTTCTTTCAACAGTGTTTTGTAGTTCTCCTTGTAGAGCTTTTTTATCTCCTTATGTATGTTCCCAGGTACTTGTGTGTGTGTGAGTGTGTGTGGCTATTGTAAACAGAATTAGCCTCTTGATTTGGCTCTCAGCTTGAATGTTTTTTGTGTATAGAAATGCTACTAAATTTTGTACATTGATTTTGTGTCCTGAATTATTACCGACATTATTTTTCAGGTCTAAGAGCTTTTTGGAAAACTCTTTAGGGTTTTCTAGGTATTGATCCATCAACACATCAAAAAGTTAATTCACCATGATCAAGTGGGCTTTATTCCTGGGATGCAAGGTTGGTTCAGCATACACACCAGTAAATGTGATTCACCATGAAAACATAGTTAGAAATAAGTCATATGATCATCTCAGTAGATGTAGAAAACATTTTTTATAAAATTCAACATCCTTTCATCATAAAAACACTCAACAAACTAGGCATCAAAGAAACATGCCTTCAAAATAAGAATTATCTACAACAAACCCACAGCCAACATCATATTGAATGGTCAAAAGCTGAAAGCATTCCCCTGAAGAATTGAAACAAGACAAGGATGCCCACTCTCATCACTCCATTTTCAGTACTGGAAGTCCTATCCAGAGCAATGAGGCAAGAGAAAGAAATAAAAGGCATTCAAATACGTAAAGAGGAAGTCAAAACTACTATGTATTATAGGCATCAACAAATAAGTAAAGATATTTATGATAAGGAGAACTTAGTTTCTCACTGATGGAGAAAGGAATGCCCAATATCAAAGGTGAAAGACTAGAATGCACCCATTGGGGATGGACTTCAATTAAAGTTAGATAATTATAGATAGATGAAAGGATAAAGAATAGATAACAGAGTTAGATAAATATATACAGACAGTTATATGAGTATGTACATGTAGGTCACATTTTAATCAGAGGCCAGAAAGCTTATGAGGGATGACACCAGTAACAATAAGCATGTACCTCCCAGATCTAGAAACCAAAGCTGAAAACATCCAGCTTTTTTTTTCAGTAAAGTCTGCTTTCAGGCTAGAAGTAGGAAATATGCAAGATGGACTGAATTTTATTCTAAAAAAAAAAGAGAAAGTTTTTGAAGAGTGATGAGTCTTATCAAAAAGACACAAGAGTCAATTGGAAGTAGATTCTTCTCACCTAAAGTATAAACATACATATATATGTGTATGCATATATACACTATACATTATATATAAATATAAATCATGATAATATGGATTAGAATACTATGAATAAAGGAAAATACTTAAGTGGACACAGATATGAATAAATGAATAAAGGAGAAATTAAGAGAAAAAATGGCTTTTTAAAAATTTTTTTGTGAGACTGGGTCTTGCTCTGTCACTCAGGCTGTAGTACAGTGGTGTGATCTTGGCTCACTGAAACCTCAGCCTCCCAGGTTCAAGCAATTCTCCTGTCTCATCCTCCCCAGTAATTGGGATTACAGGCAAGTGCCACTATGCCCAGCTAATTTTTTTGTATTTTTAGTAGAGATGGGGTTTTGCCACATTGGCCAGGCTGGTCTCGAACTCCTGGCCTCAAGTGATCCACTCACCTCCACTTCCCAAAATGCTGGGATTACAGGTGTGAGCCACCATGCCCGGATGGCATTTTCATATGTGGAATTTTGGCAGGCAATATTTTAACTAGATGATTAAACTTGATATCAACAATATTCAACAAATCATCACCAGTGCTGCATGCTAAAAAAAATTGCTGAAAAGAAAACCATCTAATTTTTGTATTATTCTTGCCAAAATGCAAACTCAGAATTTAATCATAAGGAAACATCATATCATGCAAAATAAGAACATTTTTTAAAATGAAATGGCTTCTAACTGACAAAATGTTCAAAGTCAAACGTTACTAAGGAAGGGGATGCAATTGTTTCAGAATAAAAGACTTATTAGCATTGACAACACTGTATAGAATTCCACATTAGATCTTGGCCAGTAAAATTAAAATAGCTAAAGAGAATATTTTTTAGACAAATTGAATCAAATGACTTATAAACTTAGTGTTATTACTTACATTCCTAATGGAATATGACAAATAACAACAAAGCATAAAATCTTAAACCCTTTTTAGTAAATTATTAATCTTATTGTTCATAGTGTTGGCAAAGTTATTCTGAGACTGTTGGACATATTATTGTGTAAGTAAATGTTTAATGATGTTGGTGTCACTGAGAGCTTGAATTTCAAGCATGGAAAAAAAAATATATAGGCAAAATATCTAGATCCATGCATTGAAGCAAAACCCCTGACAGTATCAGTATGAAATTTCTTCTAATTAAAAAATTAACTAACTATACATACACGTGTGTGTTTATATACATAGACATACATCTAAACACACATATATTTAGACATATACGTGTGTGAGTCCTAGCTTTGTCAACTGAAATGTCTTAGAAAATAAATAGCTCAGTATGTTAGTATAAACAATGATGTCCCTATATAAAATATAATGAAAATAACCTTAATCCTTTAAGAAATTGGGTGATTTTAACTTTGGGGAGATACATATAGAAGATATTCATGGACATTTTTGGCATTTTGGAAATCAGAGAAGCTAACAAAATATACTATGGTCATGTCAAAATAATTCAGGGGTTCCCACTAATCAACGATTTGATAATTTAAGCATCAATAAAGGATAATAACCACAGTGGACTGAAATATATAAAATTCATTTAGTACCTTTTTAATAATGAACCTAATTTAGGGGGAGAAGGGCAAAATCTTTGAGAAAACTAGGGAATGAAGTCAATTAAAAGAACTGATAAAGTGACAAAATCAAATAGCTGTTTTGCCTTCTTCATTAACATTGTTTCTTGGGGTAACCAAATATTTATTATTGGAAGCTTCTTTTTGTAGAAATATTTCAACTAATTCATAGAAAAAATAAATAAAATATCCCTCAACTTGCAACCCATAATAATTAATGAATCCAGGCAATAAATATCACAAATTGCTAACATTACAGAAAGATTCAATTATCAGAAATTTGAAAAATTATGTAGGAAATATTTATAACTAAAACTATTAAAACTTGTAGAGCAGTTACTAAGTTTACAAAAAAAATATGGTGAATGGAAAACAATTAAAGACGTCATAGGATGCAATGTTCAAAACTCTAGATTCTGTGAACTTTACAGAGCTAGTGACCAGTTTCTCTAACAAATAAATTGCAAAAAGAGGGGTTGGAACACCTATGCATTAAATCGAATTCTGAAAATATACTAGTGAATTGCAATGTATGGACATTGTTGAATCTAGATTCAAATAAACCAATGTAGATGATATAGATATAGATATAATCAATGGATAAATGTAGATGAACTATATGTGAGTGATGCATGTAAATATAAATGATTAGTTATGGAGAAGTTCAACAATAGGATTAAAAAAATTTACTAACCAACTTTTAATAATGAATAGAACAAGAAGAACAAGGCAGAAGTTAAATAAGAAAATTTATAGAAGACTTAATACTATGAACCAACTAGACTTAACAAACATATGTATAACATGCCACTAAACAACATCAGAAAACATGTTCTTCTCAAGTGCACATGGAGCATTTAACAGATTAGACCACATGCTAGGCTATTAAACAAGTCTCAAAGAATTTAAAATGATTGAAATCATACAAAGCTCTCCAGACATAATGATATAGACTTAGAAATCAACAATATAAAGAGATTTGGAAAATTGACAAATACATGAAAATTAATCATCCTGCTTCTAAATAATAGGTTAAAGAAGAAACCAAATGGGAAAATAGAAAATGAAAATGAAGATACACATACCAAAAATTATGGGATGCAGCTAAAGCATTCCTTAGAGTCTAATTTGTAGTTGTAAACACCTAAATTTTAAATCTATGACAAATCCCAAGTCAACCTAACCTACAACTTTAACACACTGGAAAGAGAAGAGCAAACTAACACAAAGCAAACAAAAGAAAACATAATAATAAAGATTAGAGTGGATTATTGAAATATAGAATAAAAAACTATAAAGAAGAATCAACAAACACACTGATTATTTTTAAAAAGTAAGAAAATCTGACAAATATCTACATTGACCAAAGAAGAGAAAAGAGAAGACAGATTACTAACAGTAAGAATGAAAGAGGATACATCAAAACTGACCAAACAGAAATAAAAAAGACTGTAAAGGAATATTATAAACAATTGAATATTAGAAAGTATCAGTAGACCTATAACAAGTAAAAAGATTAAATTAGCCATTTAAAAACTTTATACAAGTAAAATCCCAGACCAAGATGGCTTTGCTGGTGAATTCCTCAAAAATTTAAAAAATTACTATCAATTTTTCACAAACTCATCCAGAAAATTTTTGAAAATAGAAGTACATCCCAGTTTATTTTATAAGGCAAATATTATCAAAATACCAACATCAAGGTCATTAGAAGAAAGGGAGAACAGACCAATGTCATTTATAAACTTTAAGTCATCAAAAAAATACTAGCAAACTAAATATGGCAACATGTAAGAAAGGATTATTGACCATTGACAAGGGGCATTTATCTTAGTAAATTTGTTTAAAAAACAAACATATGATTAAATTATGCACAAAATAAAGACACAATCATGGATATTTAAAATCAAGTGGAGATGATATTAATAAATTGTTAATTTATATTAGATGTTTAATGATATTGTGATGATATGGTAAATAAGAGTATCTATCATTCAGAGAAAACTGTGGAAATATTTAAAGCTATATAATAAGATGTCTGGGATTCGTGTTAAAATAATTTGGAGTTGGAGAATTTAGGTAGAATCACATAAGAAACGTGATTAACCATGAATAGATATTTGTTGACACTAGATAAATGGTATGCACAAATTCATTTTAGTATCTTCTCTAATTTTGAATGTGTTTAATGTTTTCCTATGCAAAGAGTTGAAAACATATAAACTTGTATTAGTCTTAAATTTTATTTTTTAAGTAATCTGCCTGAGAAAAAGAATATGAAGAACAAAGAATTTTATACCAGATTAAAATATATATACACTAGCAATAGTCAAATATAGAGTAGCTATTACAGAAAACCAAATCATTTACATGGTGAACAAAATTGAGATTTTCTGTTTGATGGCTTACCAAAGAAATACTGGTGGAATTGATAGAATAATGCTTCTAAAAATTCAAAATGTGGAGAAGAAAACTAAAAAAAAAATTAAAATTTTAAAAATGCAATTCTATTTTCTAATGCAAAAAACAGAATAAAAATTGAGGAAATAGTCCAGAAAGTTGGAATAAATAGAAAATTAAAGTGTTTACTTACATCTATTGTAGTGTTTATTTTTATATTTTTAACAAACAGTATAATTCTTGTATCACCCGAATAGAAATTTAAAAATTCTTGAGTAATGGTGTCATTATTTCAGATCTAAATTTTAAAGTAAAATCTGCAAAAGCCTACCTACTTTGTGTTCATTTATGGGAAATCTTTAATATTTTTAAATCTTGAATGCTTAAAATCTTTTCTACTTTATTTTTTAACTTAAAATTTTAGCAAAGTGGAGTATGGAAAGAAAGCTTTTTTTTTTTTTTTTTCAATAAATTGCATGAGAAAAGCTGTATCTTACATTTGGTCTTTTTTGTTGTTTTCCTAATCTTTCCTATCAGTGTTTTTCCCTGTTTAATTTGGAGAAAACTTTTCTCAAATTAGTCTTTATTTCACTCATTTGAGATTTTTACTATTTTATTCATTTGAGTTTTCTACAACCTCAATTTGTTTGTCCTGCCTCCAATGGGAAATATGTGTATGCCATTTTATTTAGTTAGTTTCTTACAATTACTTATCTGATGTTATTAACTTGTTTTTCATATAATCCTTCTCGTTGCCCTAATCAAATGTATTCTATGCTTTTATATTTTCATTTCAAGTTGAATGGACAAAAAAATGTCGCTATCGATACAATTGGTTAAGGATAAAAACGAGGTAAGGATAATTACATTTCATGTAGCAATGGAAAACATGGCCTGGACTACCTAGCAGTATGTAGTAGATGTATTTCTTTTTCTAGGGTACAAAATTAACATCTTCGAATTGGTAATGGCACCCAGAAAAAGCTGAATAGTCTTCCTACCTACTTAATAAGATTGAGTAATACTCTGTTACAGGCAGCAAAGATAGTGAGAGCCTACATATTTCTCTTTTCAAATTTTTAATGCTGTAAACCTCTAACTACTGTAAAGGTTTGATAATTCTTCTTTGATAGTTATCCAGATAATCAATGTAATTTTATTTGTTTTTTTTAATAGATAACTATATATTTTCATGGAATTCTGAATAGAGCTTTTCGGGGGTAAGGAATAGATGCCCTCTTAAAGAATACATATTATCAAATATTCACATACATGTATTTGAATGAGTATATTGTTAATGTATATATTTTGGAAAACCTGAAAGCAGATTGTGTGTGTGTGTGTGTGTGTGTGTGTGTGTGTGTGTGTGTATGTATATATCAAGTAAGGTTTAGAACTTTAGAGTCCAGAATTAGGATTCACAGTAGATTGGAGAGGGCTGTCCAGCTGTCGAAGGCAAGTTGAGTTCTGAATGTGCCTGGACTGCTCACTATGTTCAGTTCTGAATGGAGTATTAAGTATTACAGGCATTTTATTTTAGATATTGGTAAGGCATTCTCTTTGTTTTATCATTTTTTAAGATAACCTTAGTTATCTTAAAGAAAGAGCATTAAATATGGATAAGACCTTATGCTTTCTTATTACTACTTAATTTTTCTCTACCCCATATAGCTCTTAAAATGAATTAAAACACCTACATTATTTAAGTATTGGGCTCTGTGGGCAATACAGTTTTCTGTGTAATTAAAAGTCATTCCATTATTTTGTCATGTTCAAAGGTTATTACTGTTTAAATCTCTAAAAAGCAAAAAACCAGAAATGCAGTCCCATTTGAAAAAAAATAGAATATTAGAGAAAAACCTCAAGAACCTTTCTTTTCCTATCACAAATGGAAATATTATATTTCTCTAAAACAGAATATTAGAGAGACACCACCATAAACTTTCCCTATCAATCTAAAAGCTTCAGAGGCCTTTAACTCCCTACTACATAGTCAGAATTGATTCTTGTAAATTACTTCTGTGTCTGAAAAGGTCTTAATTTGCTGAGACACTTCACCTCAAGCCTTATATTTAAATGTTGTACCACATATTAACCGTAGTTTTAATGTTATTCTCTCTAAACTTCAGATTTGATTTTTAAATTGGGAGATCAAAATTGGTAAGAAAATATATTTTTAGGCTATGTTAGAGACCTTACAGGAGCTGCTTTTCTCTTACCACCATTGATGATTATATGTATGAGTTGTGTCTATGTGAAATGTATAATAGTGATTTTGTATTAATAAAAAAAAAGGAATTTATAATTCAGATAGAATACTGTCGGGGAAAAAAACAGGATTTCTTTGGGTTGCTTTGAGTTAGAATCAAGGATGGCTGCTTTGTAAAATTCACAGAACTAAAATCTAACATTTCAAAAATATCTCAAAGCTATGAATCAGTTTTCAGTTTCTTACGCTTTTTCTCCAATCTCCAATTGAAAGTATTTTAAAAATTTAATTTTGTGGTAGATTTTATTTTTATTCTATTTCATGAATTCAAAAACTTAAAAAACACAATAAATACTTGAGTTTTAAGAGTTTTATTTCAATTGAAGACAAACTTTGCTAAAAGACGTTTTTTCTTTAGCCATATAGTTACTCTTGCCTAATTAGCCTTTAGTTTTGTTTTTCTTGAATATATATTCATTATATCTCTTCAAACTCATTAGCACTATTTAACATAAAACATTGGACTCCCACCTGGGAACATTTTATTTTATTTCATTGTATACCACAGTATGGTCTTTACTGTGCATTCACAAGAAATGTGTCTAATAATTCTACAAGGTTATAACATTCTGTCGCTGCAGTGAAGTTAGAGCCTTGCTGAAACAAGAAGCAGCATATGTTTTCTACCCTCATCTTGCAAGAATGATTTCCTAACAACTGATGCTGGAAATGCATCATTAACACATGGCTAAATTTGCTTAACTGCATTTTTAATGAAATTCAGAACACAGAACCTTTCTTTGAAAAGTAAGGTCATTTAACTTAAACTAGGTAAAAACCATTAACTATGTTTTAGAAAGTAAACCTTTTTTGTGTGTTCTTTAATTGTATAAAGATGTAATCTAATCCTGTAATTTATTTATAATATCTGGTATAATTATTTTATGTTAAATTTATATATATTACTGTGAGAAATAAAAGCTCTTTTGACTTTTTCTTTGTATGTTATATACACAAGAATATGTCTACTGCCTTGTGTAACATTCTCTGTCAAGGATAATAACCATACATAAACACAAACTGAATACATTAAAAAAAACTAATATTTGCTCATTGATATAATTTATCTGCATCACTTGGGGGTATTATTTATTCATTAAATAAATATTTACTGAGCAATTATTATTATATGTTAAAGATAGTTTTGGCTCCTTGGGTAATAGCTAAAACTATTTTTAACATATAATAATAACAGCAAACACAAGAAAAAATATATCTGTTCTCACAGAGCTTACAGTCTAAGACAGTGAGTCACATAAGACAATAAAGGTTAAATGTAACCTGTCATTTGGTATGTTTTACAATTATGTGTTCTAAAAAATCAAATTTAAAAAAATTAAAGGGATTGCAACTTATTTTCTCAAGGCTGCAATTTAAAAAATGTTATTTAAGGCAATTACCATTAGGAAAAAATGTTCATACACTTTAATAAGATGTCGGCTTTATGCAGAATGGAGAGGAAAAAGTGTATCAGACAGAAGGAAAAGCCAGATCGAAGTCGTAAATTAGGAGAACGCTCAACATGCATAAAGAGCAGAAAACAAACCTTTGAGGAGGAGAGTAGTTTAAGAAATGAAGTAAGGGGCTGGGTGCAGTGGCTCATGCCTATAATCCCAGCAATTTGGGAGGCTGTGGCAGGTAGATCACTTGAAGTCACCAGTTTGAGACCAGCCTGGCAAACATGGCAAAACCCTGTCTCTATTAAAAATACAAAAAATAGCAGGGCATGGTGGTGCACACCTGTGGTTTAATGTTATATTTATTGGGAATCTATCTTGTGTAAATGTTTACATTAGTTCCTTTAGAGGATACAAAGGCAATTAAAAATAAATTTAATTGCTTTCTGCTTGCCCATTCTATGGTAATATGAGGGAAACTGATAAATAGGAAAGGGAAAAGGAGCTTGGAAAAATATACATATATTTGATGAGGTTGATATTTTCATGATATCAGATATTTCCTTTTTACTATGGTACTTTCACCACCTTATAAACTTTTGTGAAATGTTTACCAAAGGACTTTTTTTGTATTAATGGTCTTTGTCTTTATTATTGCTAAAAGATAATAGGAATATTTAAATGGTTCAGACAGACATATGATTTGGAAAATAAATAACAAAATTCATTTTTCTAGGAAAGAGAAGCTAGTATGTGTAGGTTGATAAATGAGATTTTATTTGATCTTACTGCTTAGATTTTTATGCTTTCTCTGCATTTTTCAAGCTTTCTGTCTTTTAAATCTAAAATACATTCAAAAGAAAGCTTCTTTATTTTTTTTGTATCAACCACAGTTTAGCTAAATAGATTACATCAGTCACTCCCTAGGTTACCATATGTATTTATCATTGTGATAAAGAAAACTAAAAATTAGTATCTGTTTATTTAAATAGATGTGAGCAAGCATTTATCTGATAAAAAGCTTAAATACCATGTGCCTCACATAGAAAAATTGTCCTATACATACAAATATAGGTACAAGAATACAAAGAAAAGGATATGGAGGAAAGGAACAAAATATCGTCACCCCTTTAGCAGTGCCAATATCCTTCCTCTACTGAAGGATATTATTTTCCTTATAAAGAATAAAGTCTGCTGCCCTCTTTCCTTCTCTCACCCTCATACACACACACACACACACACACACACACACATATATATAAAATTCCAATTTTGGTTTAGATTTACTTCACTCTATACTGTAAGGAAAGAAATTTCTAAGGCAGTGAGTAATACAAATTACAGGAATACAATATTACCAAAAATAAGCCTTGATAATTTCTCTATAAATATGACTATGTATTATGTGTATTATGTAATGTAGTCATTATCCACTGCATTCTAAAATTAAGTTAACTCTCCTGAACATTTTTGTAGAAAGAACTGACAATGGTGATGGCTTATGCAAATAATAACAGATCAATATCATTTCTCTTTGTACTTACAAAAAGTCATTTTATAAGTTAATAGATATATAGGGTATAAACAGAAACTTTTGTCTGAAAAACACCTTCAGAGAAAACCTTTTCTTATTATTATCTCAAAACACTTAATTTTATTTTATTCCAATTACAAAAATGTCCACTGATATTGAATAGTAGATGACATTTTTAAATTTTTCTTCAAAATTTAAAATCATCACATCTCCTATTATGTGAAGTGCTACAATTTCGTCTCCACAAAATTGTTTTTAATGGCTTACCATGTTTTATCTTCCCTCTTATAGAAGGATTTGAAAGAAAACAGGGAGGTGATACTGTAGACTCAAGCTCTATTTATTTTTAAGCCCTACTGTTAATGAATTTTGCTAAAGGGCAGGTTGCAAATGTGAACCCGGAGTATTAATGCAAAATTATTCATTTAGCAAAATCATTCAAGTGAAAATGTGTAAGCAAATGATATCAAGTGAACCATTTACCCTGAAGGAAAAGCTGTCACTAATGCTTTACCTATCATCTTGTTTAAAGTTTCTGGCTTCAAATATATTTTTACATTTTTCTCTAATAATGGAGTATCTCTTAACACCAGAAAGATGTGCCTAGTTTAATGGTGGGGTAGGAAGAGAGACTTGTTGACTTATGGATTTGAGAATACCACAAAATCTTTTAAGTCAAATAGCAATTATCTTTATCCAGCTTCACCCCTGACCTCAGTCTTGCCCACTCTGGGCTAGTAGTATACTTGGAATCTGTGTTCTGCATAGCAGCAAATCAATAATTGAATGCTCTATTGTATCTTCAGGAAATCAGGGGTTATAGGGAATTCTACAGACTATATGAAATCAGGACTTGTGATTACAAATGAAATATTATTGAGATCACAGATTTGGAGGAAACCTTAAATTATTTTACCAGTTTCTGGAAAGCATGTTCTAGTCTTTCCTTCCCTAATTTTATTAGAATAAATTCTGGCAAAATTTGACTCTTTTTTGTTTTAAATACATGGTTTTTGAAAAAAAAGCTTCTCATAATTTTTCTGACCTTCATGCTTTAATTTAAATACATAATTTAAACACATATGTGTACATTTGATCATTATTCTTCTAGTAAATATTTTATTAAGCACAAACTGTGTCAGATATTGTGGTTGGTGCCAGTAACAATGATGACTTGCACTTAGAGTCAAAAACAATATGAGAATTTGTAGATTCAAAAGAACGCTTGAACTCATCCAGCAAAGACACTTCATTTTATCATCAGGAAATCTCTCCCATTTTTGCTAGGGATTACTGACAAGAGAAACAGATTATTTTTCATACATTTAGGATGTGATACATCATTAGCATTGATTTTGTGCACAGTCATGAACTAAGTGCTGTGTATTAGTAGTGATCTTTATACAAATACTCAATTCATTTTCAGTTTTTAAAGAAATCATTATAAAATCCATAATATAAGAATGAATTTTATGTCTTAGTAGTTAGGTTGAAAAGTATGTGCATACTTATATTTTGGTTTGTTTGTTTTTGTAGAACATTATTCTGTTAGAATGGAAAGCATCTGTTCTCCTCTTCCAACAAAGTATCAAATATAAAAGTTGTATTACTTTGGGTCAGAAAGAAAGGTATAGGGAAAAAAATGCCTATAAAATACGTAAGATCGCAAATTATATAAATTCCTCAAGCTCCTTCCCACTAATTCTATCTCCACTTCAATGGACCTCTCCCAAAACATTAAATAGAGTATCAATCTCTTGGGAGTTAGGAAACAGACTTAAATAATTTTCTTCTGTCTTAATTAGTCCCATCTATATCCATTTATTATTTCAAATTGATACAGGCAGGAAGCAAGAAAATACTGGGTGGAAGAGGGTGGTTTCCTGGCAAAGGCACCACCCTCAAGCCTGGAAACCCACAGCCCTAAATGAGAACAGGCATTCCTGTTTTTGCTCCTAAATTTTGCCTTTTGGCCTTCCACACCCCTCTATCCTGTACCCATATACACCCCAAAACCCAGGCTACATGAGCAGATGAGCAGAAGAGCAGAGAAAAAGAAGAGTGGCACGGCAGAGAAGGAGAGAAGAGAAGGGGCATCTGAATGTCGAGAGGAGTTCAGCTGGGGATTGTTGGAGAAGAGATTGGCCACAGGATGGCCAAACTCCAGGGGAAGATTATCTTTCCACACCATCCCTTTTCCAGCTCCTTAACCATCCTACTGAGAGCCACCTCCACCACTCAATGAAATCTACACATTCACCATCCTTTAAGTCTGTGTGTGACCTGATTCTTCCTAGATGCAGGACAAGGTCCCGGGTATCAACAATGCACTGAGCTGGTTAACACTTAAGCTGTCTGCAGATGACAGAGCTAAAGGAGCACTGTAACATGCCTACCAGGGCTTCAGGAATTACAGAAGCCCACCACTGGATGCTACCATGGCGCTAGATCCCAGAAGCTCTTGCCCCACTTCTGCACCTGTCCGTCTGCGTGCCCCCTCTCCTGTAAGGGTTTGAGAGTGTGGTGGCCCAACAAATGAGCCACATCCATGTTGTGAGGCCTGCAAAGGGGTTAAGGGAACTGTCTCATTTAAAAATCAATAATTCTTTGATTCTTGACACTGCATTCTATATTCACATATTCTATAATATACATTTATGTACTAGGATTGTGGAATTTTATATTCCCCTTATTAATAATTCAAAAAAATGTGTTTTGTTTTAAGTATGTAAAGTAGCTACAGGGCACTTTTCAATACCTCAACAGTATGTTGGTAGGTATTTATTTTACATATATTATATGATTATTTAAATAAAAATATGCTTTATTTTCTGGAAGCAAATGGTAGTCCCTGAAATAAGAAATAATAATATCTACTTTTTAAATACCTAATGTTTTTCAGAAACTGTATTATGTAATTTGCAGATGTTATTTCATTTAAAATAAATCTATTAGAAAATGTTACCCTCATTTTTCAAGATAAAGAATTATACAAAAGGTTGATTACCCTTCTATTGAAAATAATTTTATCCTAATATTAGACTCAGATCCTTGTTTCCTCAAAGTTGTATAAATATTTGATCACAAATTATACTGTATTTTGGGGCACAAGTATTGTTTCAACTAAATAAAAAATCTTGCAATAATAATCATCCTTGGTAGTAAGCAATCATCACCTATAATTTTAAGAATAACAAAATGATTCAGAAATTTTTGTCAATTTATAAATACATTAGCAAAGTGCATTTCATTTTTGAAAACTAACATTTTGGATTTCTGAAGAGCAGGAGTTGTTTCTGATTCATTATATGGTGAACCAAAAAGATGATGGTATGAGATCTACAGTAAAAACAAAAACAAAACCCAAAAGCAGCTTTAAAACATTCAGATAATGTAAAAAGTAACTACCTGAACATTCTGGAGAATTAATAGAAGCTAAGAGACTCTGAGTATGCATACACACTTTGAGGTGTCGACTAAGAAAAGGCAAAAAACCACCCTGCAAAGCCGTTTGACTACGCATTTACTCTGATCTCAGAAATTGCAATACAGAAGAAAGATTCCACTAGAAGCTAGGGTTCAGAAGAGAGAAAGGGGAGTGGGGACTTCTCAAAGGATACACTAAACAAATTGGTTTGAAAGAAATATCATTGATGAAGGTGGCTGGCTTAGCACATGAGTCCATAATTTATTGATTGTTAATGTTTAGCAGTTGCAGCGTTGGAGAATTTCAGCTGTAATTTAAACCCAGGCAAATATTTCTTGCTAAAATTAAGAAAAAATGCTCACCAAAGAAAAATAACAGAACCCAGAATTCCCATAATGTAACATTTTAGTATCATGAATACAATAAAAAATTAACTGTAATATGAAGAAAGAAAAAGTGTGCATCTCAAGTGCAAAGAATGTTAATTGAATCCAAAATTAAAAACAAGATGATGACACTAACAAACATCTTAATAAACTTGTAATTATTCTCAATGAAACACGGTTTCAACAGATAAAAATCTCAGGTCTCAGTAAGGAACTGTCAAATCTTAGCAGACAAACATATACACAATGAAAAGAACCAAAGAAACATTCCTAAGCTAAAAAAAAGGTTTGTCATTTCTAAAATGACAAAAATTAAAAAGCTGGGATTAAATAAAAGATCAATGCCACTCTCAGGGTGCTGTCCTTGCAGGGAAACTTGTTTAGGTCATATATAAAAATAAAGTGCAAATGAAATGGTGTTTCAGCATGCAATGAGAAGTATTCAGATAAGTTCATACTAAGCCAACTTCTGTCAAAAGAAATCTAACATCAAAGTTTTCTATTACTAATTTGAGTTTTGAAGATATTGAATAAAATAGAAGTTGCTGTTAGAAAGGGTAAAAATCTTATTGAAAAAGATTAAAGGAATAAGATGATGAAGCAGTTCAGTTTTCTCATTAGCTATATTTTAAAATTCAACTCTGAATTATGTATATAAAGGAGGTGCACTTATAAAATCAGGAAACATCTCAATATCAGAAATTAAGAGTAAAGCTAAATCAACCCACATATGATGAGTATACTTTAAAAACAACACAAAAGGAGATACAGTTTGTGAGAATTCAGAAGAAAGGTTATTCGTCTTAGGTCAGAATGAGTGGGTATTAAGGGGCATGATGATCTAGAAAACTTGAGGCAGGAGAACAGAGCCTGGAGGCAGACAGGGAACCTAAGGCTGCTTTGCACTGACTTCCTAGAACTGAATCAAAAGGAAGACCCACCCCTCCATGCCCAAGCAACAAAAGGATCAGAGGCTACTCTCTTTGTAACCCCCACCTTTCCACTGCATGGCAGATGAAAAATGCAAAATATATCTGATTCGTACACTCTCACAACCAATCGGATTTGTTGCAGGACAAGTCTCCATTTATTAATACATAGATTATAACCAAGTATCTAATTGGAAACCTGTAGAGGGTACTTAAATCACAGAAGATTTTGCCAGTGATCTTGAGCTGCTTGTACCAGCCCAATCCCAATCTTTGGAGTGCATTTTTTTTTTCAATAAATCTATGTTTTCGTTGCTTCATTCTTTGGTTGCTTTGTGTGTTTTGTCCAATTCTTTGTTCAAAACACCAAAAACCTGGACAAATTGTGGTCAAAACCTTCTACTGGTGACAAGTTGTTAGAGGAGAATACAATTAGTATCATCCTTGAAGATCTGTAGTTAGTAATGTATTAACTGTCAAATATAGAAAAATGCATTTGTTACAGATCGCAGGCTCAACTACTCACCACTTACAAAACCAAAAAACCAGGACAAAGTGCGATGAAAGAAAAGTGATTTCAATTCCATAGCTAGAAGTGAAGAAATGGTCCAGGTTCTGGCCTTAAATAAATTATTTCAGCTTTTTGGGTCAAGGGTAAGGGGAGGTTGCTATGATAGGCATGCAGGAGTGATAAAGAGGTGCCAGTCTATGTGACTTGTTTCAGCAGCTACCTTGGGCTGTCTCATGGATGAATGGGCTGTCACCATCTTGGGTACAGCTGGGTTGCAAAGTGACTGCAGGCTTGAAGTAATGTTCAAGTGGGGGAGAATCCTGTAGTGGCCTTAATTGTTTCAAGATTTAGTCTCTGTAGCTTCTAAACAAACGCACAACTAGATAAGGGAAACATTGTGCAAAGGGGTGCCTGGTGAAAAGAAGAGCAAAGATTATCTCATTTTTGCAGAAAGAAGGAGAGTAAAGACTATTCTCTCCTTATTAAAGGCAAGACAACAAATGGGTAGAACAGAGAAAGACAGAGAGAGAAAAAACAACTTTTAAAAGTTTATTTTAATGTTTATTTGTTTATTTTGGAGGCAGAGTCTCCCTTTGTCACCCAGACTGGGGTGTAGTGGTGTGACCATGCTCACTGCAGCCTATACCTCCCTGGCTCAAGCAATCCTCCTACCTCAGCTTCCCGAGTAACTGAGACTACAGTCATGTGCCACTGTGCCCAGTTCATTTTTTATTTTTGTTTTTATTTTATGTAAAGACTGGGTTTCACTATGTTGCCCAGGCTGGTCTTGAACTCCTGTTCTCAAGCAGTCATCCTGCCTCAGCCTCCCAAAGTGCTGGGATTATAGGGATGACTCACCATTCTTCACACCTGGCCTAAAAAAATAAACTTTTAAGCACACTCAATTATGTATTTTCTCTTAATATGTTTTTGAAATTTTTAATTCTAGTTTTGCTATTACAACCAATAGCATAATGTCATACTTGCAGATATACCGTGAAGTACCCTTCCAAGTATACCTATGGTTTAATTCTTTAGCAACACTTGATTGTAAGGTTATTGAATTTTTAATTCCATAACATGGGGAAATAAACCTCCCCTAGATTTTTTAGTGCTCCTGCCAAAGCCTTTGCCTTCTGAGACTCTTCAGATACTAGGAGAATTATATCTATAGCCATTTGCCTAGTTAATTGCTCTACTGATTTAAAGGGATAATAAAATGTCCCTCACCCTCTGAGAAAACCAAATGGTTACAGCTCTGAACAGGTCTTGATAAGTTAAGACCCAGGGGATGAGGGAGACTAGAGAGCTTCCTCAGGTATTTACATGTCAAAAAATAAAATAAAATCCCAGCATCTGGAGATATCTCTAGATATTAAACAGGACACAGGCAGTCTGTCTCCTGGACGGATTGAATTTACAGACAAAAAGGACTAAGTGTTTTTTGTTTCCAAGGAGATTCTTTAGATGTGGAAGAAAGAACAGCCTCCCTCCCCTTTATAAACTGAAAATAAAAATAATTTTCTTTCAACCCTTACATATGAAGTGCTCTACAGCTCACATATAATATTTGACATGGTTCACTGTGCACCATTCCAATAGTAGGCAATGGGGCAGGGGGTACCAGGACACTTATTAACTGTGAAGTAATTAATCATAAACCTATTTCTGGTACAGAACACTTCCTTGTGCATATGCAGAATAAAATTAATAAAGATGTTGTTGTAGTCTGTTTGCATTGCTATAAAGGAATACCTGACACTGGGTAATTTACAAAGAAAAAAGGTTTACTTTGGCTCACAACTTCCGCAAGCTGTACAGGAAGCACGGTACTGGCATCTGCTCCTGGTGAGGGCCTCAGGAAGCTTCCACTCATGACATAAGGCCAATGTGCTGGAAAGTTTTCTTTATGTTTTTTTCTAGTAGTTTTATAGTTTCAGGTCTCACATTTAAGTCTTTCATTAATGTTGAGTTGACTTTTGTATATGGTGAGAGATAGGGGTCTAGATTCATTGTTTTACATATAGTAACAGGTTTTTCAAAAACAATTTATTGAAGAGGCTGTCCTTTTTCTAATGTAAATTCTGGACACATTTGTCGAAAATCAGTTGGATTTATTTCTGGGTTCTTTATTCTGTATCATTGGTTTATGTCTCTGTTTTTAGACCTGTACCATACTGTATTGATTACTACAGCTTTGTAGTATATTTTGAAGCCAGGTAATGTAATACCTCCAGTTTCATTTTTTTTTTACTGAGGATTGCTTTAGCTATTGGAGATCTTTTGTGGTTCTATACAAATTTCAGTTTTTATTTTTTCTATTTCTGTGGGGAATGTCCTTAGTATTTTGATAGGGATTGCACTGAATCTGTAGTTCTTCTAGGGTAGTGATACGGTTTGGCTCTGTCTCCCCACCCAAATCTTGTCTCAAATTGTAATCTCCAAGTGTCAGAGGAGGGGTCTGGTCGGAGGTGATTGAATTAAGGGGGCAGACTTCCCGTGTGCTGTTCTTGTGATAGTAAGTTCTCATGAGATCTGATGGTTTAAAAGTGTGTGGTGCTGCCCCCTTCACTCTCTCTCTCTCCTGCCTCTATGTAAAACATTCCTTGGTTCCCTTTCAACTTGTGCCTTGATTTTAAATTTCCTGAGGCTTCCCCAGCCAGGAGGAAGTGCGCATCAATTAAACCTCTTTTCTATATAAATTACCCAGTCTCAGGTAGTTATTTATAGCAGTGTGAAAATGGACTAACACAGACAGTACTGGTAGTATTCTTTTTTTTCTCCTAATGTAGCTACAATAGTGTTTGAATTGGAGAGGATTCATCACTTGACTTCATCCACATTGTATTCCAGTTGTGTCTCCACATAGTTTTGTTAGTTCAGTGGAATTTTTATTTTGTTTTTCCAATTTTGTGAATATTTATTCTGTGGCTGAAATTTCTCAGAGTTTTGCTGTTGTTGTTTTCTTTTTCTTTAATTTTTCTCATTTTCTGTTTGGGTCCAAGCCACTCTTCTCTACATTTCTCCAACCCCTGACAGTAGGATGAAGATTAAGTTCTAGACCTGCTCACATCACGGTTTTAGTCCTACTAAATGTGGGTCGATGTAGGGGAAAAAAAGAAAAAAAAATCTTTCAAGATTCCTCATCTTAACTGGTCTCCTAACCCCAGCTTGACAAAACCAGGAAAATAAAATCTAAGTGTGCAGTATCAGAAAGTTATGTCATGTAAGAGTGGCTTTTGTTTTCAGATTTTTCATGTCATTCTAGGTCTAGGATCTCTTTTCAGTTTTGCCTGGTTGCCCTTCTTTTTCCCTCCCCACATTTTTTCACTGCTTACTTCTTTCAAGACAATTGTGTGTGTGTGTGTGTGTATGTGTGTGTGTGTGTGTATTTAGCATTTTATTCCCTGACGATAGGCTTAGAATAACCTAGTCTTTCATCACATAAATGAGATGAAATAGAATCTGAGATTCTTTTCAATGGCAATCCTCAGAAAATAAGAAAACTGTGATTACTGGAAAGAAACAAAAGGACTCAGCTTAAAATTGTATATCAAGCTATATGAATAAATACAGATAGGATTACTAAAAAGAGGAATCTATAGAGTGATGAAATAAATCAGAAAATTTTAAAGACAATCTGATCAAAAGAATAGAAAAAGATAATGAGTTTACTAAAGGAATAATAAACATGCTAGTCAAGAAATCAAGACAATGGAGTGGCCCAGGATAAATGAAGGGTAGAATTATGAGGTGATGTGTATAATAATGTCAAATTTTTCAGAAATGTTTTTCTTAATTATTTAGTTCAGCAAACATTTTATTGCATTATTATTGTTACTTTTGGGATAGTAAATAAAAACAAGATAAAGTCTTCAGTCTTTATTTTAGATCTAATAGATAAAAAGTAGGCAAATCTACAAGTAAATGAACTAAAGAATCATTCTTCCTATGATAAATGTTTGTATATTATACAGGAGAGAATGTTGCTACCTATACTTTCTGATGCTTGGTTTTGAGGTTAGAGGTTAGGAAACAAATGTATGGAACAGTGAGAAGATCTATAATTGAAACTATGTCAAGAGTGTCAAAGGCTAAATGAATATTATTAATTTTATTTTATAAAGTCACTGAAGCCTTTTTTTTTGTTTTCGTTTTTGTTTTTGTTTTTGAGACTGAGTCTCGCTCTGTCGCCAGGCTGGAGTGCAGTGGCACGATCTCCGCACACTGCAAGCTCCGCCTCCGGGGTTCAAGCCATTCTCCTGCTTCAGCTTCCTGAATATCTGGGATTACAGGCACGCGCCACTGCACCCTGCTAATTTTTGTTCGTATTTTTAGTAGAGACGGGGTTTCACCATATTAGCCAGGATGGTCTTGATCTCTTGTCCTCGTGATCCGTCCGCCTCAGCCTCCCAAAGTTCTGGGATTACAAGCGTGAGCCACCGCTTCCGGCCACTGAAGACTTTTTATTTCTTTATTTTTTTATTTTTTATTTTTATACTTTAAGTTCTGGGTTACATGTGCAGAACTTGCAGTTTTTTTTTTGTTGTTGTTGTTTTGTTTGTTTGTTTTTTTAGATGGAGTCTCGCTCTTTCGCCCAGGCTGGACTGCAGTGGCGTGATCTCAGCTCACTGAAAGCTCGCCTCCCGGGTTCACGCCATTCTCCTGCCTCAGCCTACCGAGTAGCTGGGACTACAGGCACCCGCCACCGCACCTGGCTAATTTTTTGTATTTTTAGTAGAGACGGGATTTCACCGTGTTAGCCAAGATGGTCTCAATCTCCTGACCTCTTGATCTGCCCGCCTCGGCCTCCCAAAGTGCTGGTATTACAGGCGTGAGCCGCCATGACCGGCCAGAAATTGCAGTTTTGTTACATAGGTATAGACGTGCCATGGTGGTTTGCTGAACCCACCAACCCGCGGCCTACATTAGGCATTTCTCCTAATGTTATCCCTCCCCTAGACCCCCACCCCCGCAACAGGCCCCAGTCTGTAATGTTCCCCTCCCTGTGTCCATGTGTTCTCATTGTTCAACTCTCACTTATGAGTGAGAACATGTGGTGTTTGGTTTTCTGATCTTATGGTAGTTTGCTGAGAATGATGGTTTCCAGCTTCATCCATGTCCCTGCAAAGGACATGAACTCATCCTTTTTTATGGCTGCATAGTATTCCACGGTGTATATGTGCCACATTTTCTTAATACGGTCTATCATTGATGGACATTTGGGTTGGTTCCAAGTCTTTGCTATTGTGAATAGTGCTGCAATAAACGTACGTGGGCATGTGTCTTTATAGCAGCATGATTTATAATCCTTTGGTTATACGACCAGTAATGGGGTTGCTGGGTCAAATGGTATTTCTAGTTCTAGATTCTTGAGGAACCTCCAATGAAGACTTTTAAAGGGGTTATTGCTGGTCAGGAATTGGGAAACAAGACCCGTTTATTCTAAAAAATGATGAAAATAAAGAGTAGAGATAAAGCTTAAAAAGTATTTTATTGCTATAAAGTTACATAGCATTCTCTACCTGGATATAAATGTGACTACTTCTTTTGGCTGACTGGATTAATATAATATCAATGATAAGCATAGGTTTTAGCTACATATACATATCTGGAATTATGTCTGTACATCATCAAAATAGTATGAAATATTTTTTAATTT
This sequence comes from Homo sapiens, assembly GCF_000001405.40. Taxonomy (NCBI): domain Eukaryota; kingdom Metazoa; phylum Chordata; class Mammalia; order Primates; family Hominidae; genus Homo; species Homo sapiens. The sequence continues at coordinate 131,243,010 of NC_000004.12, forward strand.
CTTAATTACAAGCTTGGCATGTCTTATAAGCATCCTCCTACATGCAGTAAGAATACATTTGAATATAAATATTTGTGGTTGATATTATCACCAAAGTACATAAAGCAATTAAAATATTTATCCCACTTTATATATAATTTATTCAATAAAATAGCAATCTAAGATCTACTGAGGAAATAAATGTATATTAAAGGAGGTGGTAAAACATAAAATACCAGAGAGTATTGGCACATTTAATGTAGGAGTAGTGGCATATTTAATGTCATAAAGCTTGGTATGGAAAAATATGGCTATGAGTTTTGGGTCTACCATTTATTTGCTTCATGACCTTGTATATCACATTGCCTATACCATTTTATTCTGCATGTGTTCGTTTGTAATAGGATAATGCAAGTTTACTGCTTGTCATAGACATTAGATACAAGGATGCTTTTGGTACTCTTCTTTACATTTTGGATGTTCAGCCATGATCCCCTTAGAAAACCTTGCCATGCTATGTGATGCGTGCCTATCTGATAGGAAGACTTACTGAGGGATCCAGAATAAATCTGCATATAAAATATTATTAAAGTTTATTTTCATAGTAGGCATTTAGTATTCAGTAAAGTAAAATGGCACTATTATTACTGTAATCCATTGGACCCTCCTTATGTGATCCTCAATATATCATATTGTAAGCAATATGATAAGCAACAGAAAGTAGTAATATGATAAATAAGGAGTTTCAGGAGATCATTTACTTTGCCTTAAAATCTTACCCCGTATTCCTAAATGCAAAAAGCTTTCTAGTGACAATTTATTTTATATTTCATTGAAGGAGATCATAAAAACATGCCGGTGTCTGTTCTATACCTTCATCAGCCATTAGGCAGGCAACGGAATTTGGTACTCACTCACTTTAAGATGCCATATGGGTACAGTGGTAAGAAACTGGTAGCTCCAAAGAACAGTTAATTATATTCTTCAAATGTGGCCTTTAATTATAGGTTAGTATTGGTTAAAAGTTCTCATCAGCAATTCTTGCTGCTTGTGTCTTCTCAAAATACTCTTGGAAGAGCCCTGTTTTTCTAAAATGTGGTATAGTATCATAGGAAATGCAGCATCTTTAAGACAGATATTTATTGTTTTGAATACCCAGATCCTGTAGTAACTAGCTAGGTAACACATTGATTTCTTTTTCTGTAGAAGGGTGAGAACAAAAGTTCCTATCTTGCAGTGGTGATGTGAGAGTTCAAATTAATGTACTAAAGAACTGTTAGCTAGTAGACCCTCAGTGAAGAACAACTATTATCGATATCTTCTTGTACAACCACAGAAACTTAAGAGCTTGATAATGTAGAGTAAAGGTACCCAGTATCTTGAAACATCTGGCCAATCCTGAAAGTTTACAGGGGAAAGTAGAGTGTTTTAAATTTTTAAGAAAATACAGTGACATTTCATGGGGACCTTATGGGCTACAGCTCAAAGTCGTTCACAGTTTCAATATTAAGTTAAATTTTTGCAAATCTGAGTTTCTAATGATTGTTGTAATAAAAAGCAAGGACTACATGAAAATCTATGTAGAACAGGAAATAAGAGTAGCAGTACCCAATCTGATTCCAAAGTTTTAAGAATTTTGTGTGCCCAACATAGTCAATAATTTTGATAATCTGTAAATACTTATTAATTTGTTTGGGCTTAACTATTTAATCGTTTAATAAATGAAACTGCTAGGTAGACTTTTTTTTCTTCTAACTCCACCTTGATAAGATTACTGAGATACTAAGGACATTGACACCAAGAGGGTTTGGAGACTTCTGCTTGAATGGTTCTTTTCAGCCCTTAATCTAGGCCATATCTTATCATCATATATCTCCCAATAAAAATATTTGCACATACATCTGCAAAATAGTTATAATGATCATTAGTTTATGTATATATATATACCACTATTATTATTTTATAGACAGGTAATAGACATGTAAATATGTATAATTAAGTTAATAAACTTGAGAAAATATTGTAATTTTGGCAAGAAGGCATGTATAAAAATTTATTCTCATTATTGCTAACAGAAAAAAATTGCCAAAAAATGTGTCCATCAACAGAGAAAAAAAGTAAATTGTCACACATTCTTAAAATGGTATATTATGTGACTGTAAAAGGAAATGATAATTATTTTTATATTTTTCACCATGTTGTATTATAAAAACTGTGATAAGTCTAATATGAACAACCACATTATCTTCGAAGCTACTTGATAAGGGAAACATATGATATTACACCATTAATATAATAGCTTATATGTATTTTTAAAGTATTTTTGTAGAGAAGTTTTAGTTCACAGCAAAATTAAGAGAGGCACAGAGATGGCCCATGTAACCCTAGTCTCCACATGTGCATAGCTTCCCCCATTATTAACATCCCCAACAAGAGTAGTGTATTTGTTATAATTGAACAACCTGCATTGACACATTAGTATCACCTCGAGTCCACAGATTACATTAGGACTCACTCTTGGTGTTGAACAGTCTATAGGTTTGGACAATGTGCAATATATATCCATTATTTTAGTGTCATACAAAGTATTTTCACTGCTCTAAATATCTTCTGTGATCTGCTTATTTAACCCTCCTCCTTCCACATGCTTTTTAAAATAAAAAGTATAAAAATCTTCATGGAAATGATAAACATCAAAGGAAGAACAGAGATATCAGGGAACATGTTGTTAGAGTGAGGTATATAGGGAAGTTATTATTTATTTAATTTTCTCAGCTATTTTTATATTTCTGCAATTTTTACTATATTTTCACACTTCTTTGTTTTAAAAAAGCACACACATTATTTTGAAAAGACTATATTTATTGTAGGTACTTTTGTTGGTAATATTATAACATAAAAACAATGATAAATTTTTAGATGCTTTTCAGTCTAAGATTTTCAATCTAAGCATCTAAAAATTCATTATCGTTTTTATATTATAGTGTTACTGACAAAAGTACATACAATTTGGAAAATTTTGAGTAAAATATATTTTTTTCTTGGTGGGTGGTGAGTGTTTGCTTATTTTTTGTAGCATTATTGATATTTTATTTCATAGTATTTTTTTCCAGACTCATTTTAAGCAAAAAAAATTGTTTAGATAAACTATTAGCTATATTAACCTGGTGCATAAAAATTGTAGCACACTACCACAAACTAAACATGAATAAAATAGAAGGATGTTTTTAGTATTTGTTCCAATGTTTTAGACGACCTTCCATGCTTAGAAAACCTTGCCAGTTTTATGTGATATACATACTTGTCTGATAAGAATCACTATAGAAGGCTCCAGGGTCAATCCACATATGAAATATTAGTAAAACTTATTATTTTAATAGTAGGCATTATTTTGAAGATAAAATATATATAACTAAATGCTATAATATTTTCCTCCCATAATGCTATCCCCTGGTCACATATCCTGCTCTGGAAGACATTGATGGAGATCGTAACAAAAGTGCCATTGAAACTTCTAGTGAAAACCTATAGACTCAGTTAAAAAAATACAAAAGCTTATTTCATTAGGGAAGTGAGTCTATTTAACACTTTGGATCATCATATCTTTTATGTTTCCCCTTGTTCTGTTCTAGGAAGGGCACAGTGAAAGTTATCCTTTTACAGGAAATGATAAAATAGCATATTCTGTAAGGCTGCATTTCTTTGCAATTAAAAAGACAAATCTTGCTACTTTTTGGCAAAATAAGATAGGCGCTTGAAAACTTTTTCAAATTGTTCTTCTTATACTTTCCTATAAAACCAAGGGACTCTAGATAATGTTTTACTTCAGAAATTCAAAATTGATAATCCCTAAACTGCCTAAGTATCTATGAAAACAAGATTTCTTCAGAAATATAAGTAATTTGAGTTAAAGAAAGTATGTGGTATGCTTTTAATATAATTCACTAAATGAAACTTCTTCAGTGCTGTCAATCAAATAAAATGGAGCATGCAATCCATAATTATAACTGTCTATTTTTTTATAAGATGAAGATTTAATAGCATTTATAATTAACTACAGTTCATTAACATGAAGAAGCTGATCAGACAAATTTTAGTGAAATCCACTATGTAAAATATACATACGGATATATCTTATTTGGGCTAGTTCATATGTTAAAATAATTAAAAATAGTCTATTAGACTTTCCAAAAAACCTGACCTCATCAATATTTTGTCAGGAATAAACATCTAATAATTACCTAGTACATTTAACTACCTGAAAGCGAAAAAAAAATAATAACATTCTGTTAAAATAACTATTCAAGACTGATGTCTCCTTAATTTCTAGTGTATTAATTTGCTAGGGCTCCTATAACAAAATACCACACCCTGGGTGGCTTAAATGGTGGAAAATTTGTTGTCACATAGTTCCAAAGGCCAGAAGTCCAAAATCAAAGTGTCAGTAGGGCTGTGTCCTTCTAAGGGCAGTGAGAAAAATCTACTCCATGTTTTTGCCAAACTTGTGATGGCTTCCTGGACTCTTTGGCATTCCTTGGCTTGTAGATGTGTCACTCCACGCTCCGCCTTCACCTTCACATATGTTTCCCTGTGTCCAAATTTCTCTTTTTATAAGGACGTCAGTCATTGGATTAGGACCTACACTAATGACCTCATCTTAACCAACTACATCTTTGAAGACCCTGTTTTCTAATAAAATCACATTCTGAGGTCCCGGGAGCACAAATTTAACATATGAGTTTGGTGGTGGGGCGATAAAGAATTCATCCACAACATCTATAATAGTAATCTATGATTAAACTTTGTGTGTCGGGGGGAAACCTCTCTGGAGGTCAAGTTACATTCCTTCTGCTGCACACTTATATATTTACTTGCTTCATTATATTTCTGTATTGCAATAATTATTTGCAAGTCAAGTTTGTCATCTCTAAGGTTATGCTTTCCTCAGAAACAACTTGTGTCAATTTTGTGGCATGAGAATGTTTGCATAAGTAGTTTTTTATTTGCTCTAATCAGGACAGTTGTTAAGTTTGGAAAAGAGAAGGCTTTGTCTGATATTGATATAATACATAAAACTCAAGAAAAAATATATTTATGCACATTACAGAAAGGTCTTAAAGCATCTGTAACTATATTGTTGAGCCCCGTTGTCTAATATACTGTTATCTGGTAGCCATCGTATTCAATTTACAGTCTAATATTATTGCCTGTAATATTAAAGTAGATAAATGTACATATATTTATAAATAGTATCTACTAAGTGTAAATATTTTCAAAGGTCCTTTGTAAGTGTTTTGGATAACAGAATTTATTTAAACCTGAAACATCTGTAGAGGTAAGTATTATTATTATCTTCATTTTATTGATGGGGAAATTGAGGCACAGAGCTTTTCCAATGAGTTACTTGTGTAATAAGCATCAGAACCAGAGTGACAACACAGGTAGATGCTCTAGAGCCCCCTGATTTAATCATAACACTAAGCTGTCTCTGCATTTCTTAACTATGCTCCACATAACATGCTTCTAACCACATCCTTTTGTTTCATGCATTACTATTTTTATGCATTACTATCTTTAGGCTTTGCCCACTTACACTAAAAATCCAGCAGTTTTTAACCTCATCATTGTTTAGGTTCAGCAAACACCGCCATTTTTCCACTCCCAATACTTTGAACATTTGTTCTCAATGAGGTTTAAACTTTTCTAGATAAAGGTTTATGCTCTAACTACAATATATCTTTTTCAAACAGTCACTTCCAAGTAAGAAGTGGAAAAAATGCCTGAAGAAAGACAGATTCTTTCCTTTGGAATATGTTGAATTTATTTTACATTAGATACTGAAATTTTATATAGCATAACACTGAGAGACATTACATACTTCTCATCTCCTATTAGCACAGCTAATAATTTTTTTCTATAATTTAGTAAATTCTTTTATGTCATCCCCCAAGTGTTTGGCCTTTTTCAATTAAACTTCAAAGCTCAAATAATTTTGTTTCAGTCAAATTATCTTACAGTCAGTATGTGCTTTCTAGCTTAGTTGAGTGAAGATTCTTATCTTTCCAAATTTTACATGTACCAAGTTTTTACCCATTGCCTGTCTAATCTCCATGACATTTATAACTTATCAAAAGTTCATTGTATTTTAAACAACCTGTCCACATATGTATTTGTATTTTTGTATTTTGTATGTATTGCAGATAATTTTCTACCTAAACAATGTAATATTTTACCCCTTTTTAAAACTAATTGGTTCAGGTAAATACATTTTCCACTTCAGTTATCTTTATCCTTGCTTTTCTATAATCACAAAGTAGAATTAAAAAAGGTTGCTTAATAACAAAATAATATTCACTGTAATGCCTTAATGGTTAGTTTACTTCTCTAAGTTTATTTTTAAAGTATCTCTCTAAATGCTCTATTTTTTTTCAAATTTCAGACACATTTGGTTATATAAATTATAATGATAGTAGAGAGCTAAAAGTCTTATCTCAAGACAAAATAACCAAGTATTTTCACAAAATACTTTATTTAATTCAGTTTGGAATGAACCTTTTCCAGAGTTCTCCCTTCTCTTTCACTCCAAAATTCCAATTATCTAAGAGGAGACAAGTACATGGTCTTTCTCTAAGACAATAACTTGAATGAATCATATATATTTCATTGGTTTTCTTTCCTTTTTCTTGCTGTAAAATGCTATTAATTAGAGTTTTAGATGTTTAATTAATTTGCTATTGTAATTTTTAAGAGAAAATAATTTGCACATCTTTTCAGAGATAATACTGAAGTCAGAATTATTTTAAAAATAAAGTGTGTAGGAGCAAAAAGGTAACTACTGGGTGCTGAGCTTCCTACCTGGGTGAGGAAATAAGGTGTACAATAAACCCCCGTGACACTTATTTACCTACCTAACAAACCTTCACTTGTACCCCCAAACCTAAAATAAAAGTTAAAAAAAGAACAATAAAAAAGTGTCAAAGGTGAATTCAATTAGGATTTTAAGATAATATTAAACAGCTCATATTTTCATATATATAAACAACGCAGTCACAGAAATTAAAAATTTAATCACTAAATTCTTTTTTTTCTAACTTTTATTTTAGAATCAGGTGGGGTACACGTCGAGGTTTGTTACAAGGGTACATTGGGTGATGCTGAGGTTTGGGGTATGATTGAATCCGACACCCAGGTAGTGAGCATAATACCCTATAGGTAGTTTTCTTAGCCCTTTTCCCCTCTCTCTCTCCTAATAGTCCTCAACGTTTTTTGTTCACTTCTTTATGTCCGTGAGCACCCAAACTTTAGCTTCCACTTGTAAGTGAAAACATGCGATATTTGATTTTCTGTTTCTGCCTTAGTCTATTTAAGATAATGGCCTCTAGCGGCATCCATGATGTTGGAAGAACATTATTTCATTCTTTATTATGGCTGCGTAGTATTCATGGTATATGTGTACCACATTTTCTTTATCAGATTGACTGTTGATGAGCACCTGTATTGATTCCATGTTTTTGCTACTGTGAATAGCACTGAAATGAACATATGGGTGTATGTACCCTTTTGGTGGAACAATTTATTTTCCTTGGATAATGGGATTGCTGGATTGAACGTTAGTTCATTTTTTGAGCAATCTCCAAACTGCCCTCCACAGTGGCTGGACTAATTTACATTCCCACCAACAGTGAGTAAAGGCCCCTTTTCTCCACAGCTTTTCCAACAAAATTCTCTTCCTTATTGGCCTTGGCAAGTAATTTATGGCTATGTCCTCAAAAGCAGTTGCGACAAAAACAGAAATTGATGTGGGACCTAATTAAGCTGAAGAGCTTCTGCATAGCAAGAGAAACTATCAAGAGAGTAAACAGCTAACCTACAGAATGGGAGAAAATATTCACAAACTATGTGTCTGACAAAGGTTTGATATTCAGAATCTATAAGGAACTAAATTTGATTTGAATCTTGATTTTTCAATTGTAGAAAATCCTTCATAGTTTTATTTCTAGGTCTTTCAATAGATCTTGTACTAATTGCTAAATCTCAGGACATTTTTATTGAAAGTTACTAGAAGAAATATAGAGTCATTTCAATTAGGCAGAAATCATTTTAAAACAGCAATGATGGTGTACTAAATAAGAGTGAGAAATTAGAAAAAAATTACAATCAATCAAAATTATTAAGCAATTTTGTTTTACAACTCTCTATATATCTACTAATGCTATGTACTATTGAACTATTTGAAAACCATAGCAAATATCATATCTTTAAAAAATCTAACTTACGTACATGGTCTTACCTAAATGTACTGCCGTCATTGAGAGAAAAGTGCAAAATATTAACACATGCTACTTTAGAATTCTATTAAAAATTCACAGTACTCTAAAGCATTTTATTGTGAGAATAGATTTTTATGGTTTCAGGCTAATTTTCAGGGAAAAGTTACAGGGTTTACATATGTTTTTTCAGAAACAGAAAAGTCCAAGATCCCTGAATTAGGGTTCTCCAGAGAAACACATGGACCTTGGCCAATATACGTATGTGTACACAGAAAGATACTTAAGGACTTGACGGACACAATTATGAAAACTGGCAAGTCCAAAATCTCAGGGTAGGCTGGCAGGCTGGCAACCCAGAGAAGTGCAAATACTATAGTTCAAGTACAAAGGGCATCAGGTTAAGATTCCGGAAAGAGCCAATGTTGCAGTTCAAGTCCAAAAGTCATCAAGTTGGAGACCCAGAAAAAAAAATACTTATATTGCAGTTCAAGTCTGAATGCAGTCTTCTGCAGAATTTCCTCTTGCTCAGGGGAAGCCAATCTCTGTTTTCTTCGGGTGATTGGAGGACCTCCACTTGCATTATGTAGGCAGTTGCTTTACTTAAAATCCACTGATTTAAATGTTAACCTCATCCAAAAATAGCCTCACAGAAACATCCAGAATAATGTTTGAGGAAATATCTAGGCACTGTGGCCCAGCCAAGTTGATACATTGAATTAACGTGGACAGTCAGTATTTGGCACAGGTCAGTTGCTGCAGAGTGAATGTTTCCACATTATGTCCGCTTACTTTCTATGGCTTTACCTACGAATTTACTTCATTCCAGACTATGTTAATCTTTGCCTTTTCCTGTATCTCCACCTCAATTATGCAGTTTATCTGCCCTTGTAATCCTCCTGTTCCTAATTTCCACCCATCCATGTTACGCCTTGAACTGTGTTTGCAAATTTAAGGCTCAACTTTCACCATACAAATATATTTGACTAGTTGAACCAATTTCTAATCATTTCTCACTTCCCTGAATACATTTTTGAATTGTACCATCTCACTCAAGAACATTTACTACTTTTCACTTCTAATACTTTCACATGTAAAAATGAAGTAAAATTAAGATGTATCAGGGAGAAAAAAATCAGACATGCCTTACATCTCTTTTTAACTCCACACAAAACTGGTAGAGACAGAACAACAGACTCTTCTGAGTAAATATTTTTGAATGAAACTTTACAAAATTAGTTTTAAGAAGCTAGGCATTTTAAAAAGCCTGCAAATTTATGCATAACATCTATTATAGATATCTCACATTTTCACTTCAATTCCCATCTTTCCTGTTTATGCATGCTACACATAATCAGGTGGATAAAACTAATATTGCAACTCAACTTGACTCAATTAGTTTATATTCCTACATGTTTGAGCAACAGAGAAGTATGCAATAAACACATTCTCTAAAACTTTCTGCTTAGGCTATTTATACTAATTTGATATATGATCTTTGCTTTCATGAAATATTAATATCATTTTTATTCTTATCTGTAATCTAATTAGTGTATATATCATTTGATATGAGTTTCTTTATGCATTATTTTCTTTTTTATGATTCAGTCATATAAAATAATTCAGAAAGAGTTTCCACTAAATGAAGTTGCATATTTTGGTCACAAATCTTAAAATTAATTAAAACATCAATGTGCTTAATGTCACATATAAGCTGTGGCAGAGAAAAGATGTTTATCAATTTAAGATATAAGAATTTTGTTTCTCCTTTTATGTTATCATGTTTTAGAAAAACACTTATAAAATTCAGTCCTAAAAATTATGCTGTGAAATAAGTAATATATTATTATAGCTTATTTATACTGAATTTGTAATAACACCTGTTGTACTTAAATTATTTTTCTCTATGTGCTTATTTCTAAAACATTTGTCTCCTATACACATATATACACACATACTTTTTGTATATATATATATGTGTATATGTATGTATATAAAGTTTATATACACATACTTTATACATGTATAGTATACACACATATATACACACATACTTTATACACGTACATATACACCTTAATTTACACAAACAGAAAGAAATATACACACATAAAAGTGGAGAGGGACTACACAGAAAGTTAAAATCCTGAATGTTGATTTTAGCTTTTACATTTTCTTTGAACTCATTAAACTACACAGAGAAACATGTTGCCAAAACTTGATTCAAGTCTAAGCGAAATATGTATTTCTCTCTTTGAAGACATATTTGGGCTTCAATATGATGAATAAAGCTTGTATAAGTAGAAATTTAATCCAAAAAGTGTATATTAATATTCATTCATCTACAAGATGTATATCATCTGTAGTTAATTTTAGATTACATGTCCCCATTATATTTAAAGAAATAAACACTTTTATATTTGAACTTCTTATTTCTTTCTCAAATGTGGTGTAAATATTCCTACCTCTTCAGGTTAGCTGGTGAATGAGTCATTCTCAATATGTAGGTATTGATCAGTTTATTATTAATGCTTTTGTTGTTGATTAATGTTTATCTTTTTTAAAAAGATATCATTAAATTGCTAAGCATATAATCATGCTGTATGTAGATTGATGTGAGTCCAAGATTGGCTGAACAACAGCCTTTTCTTTAATGGTTCAGGAATTTGTGCATGACAAAAAAAATTATTGGACTGGGGGCTACCATTAGAAACTTTCTTTTTCTCTAGAAAATATAATCGGAATAATTCATCTCTGACATATCTGAAATAATTGGGCCAGGAAATTATCGAAATTAATATTTTGCTGAACTTCTGAAAATCCACAAAATGCTTAATATATCTCCTAACACCTCCAGAGGATGTTAGATAACACAATATAGACACACCTGTTAATTTTGCCTTCTATTTTCCCCCACCAAATGTGTTAGAAAAAAAAGTTTTCAGCTTTTAGAAATTTTTAGAAGTAAAAATTTTAGATCAGGGATATTGAACTGTTTATCGTAATAAAGTATAATTTAGGAAAGACTGGACAGATTTAGTTATATTTAAAAAGGAGGAAGAATGTATTGAATATTAATAATAGAACGTGAGAAGAATCAGAGGCACTATGCCTTGTTTAATACAGGAAACTGGGGAAAACTAGTGAGGTTGGAGGTTGGAGTTCAAGTTGTGCCATATGCTCTGTCTGATCATCATTGGGAGCTTCTAGGTGGAGTGTTTTCCCAAGCTATGTGGATGAATAAATGAACTTTTCTGGTCTGTTATCTCACCACTTTCTCCTAATGTGGATTTTAAGCAGTTTATAAACAATTTATTTCCTCTTTGGGGAAAAAAATTAGAAACTCATATATTTGTTACATAATCTCATAATGATCTCCTAGCAATGCCTCTTCTCACTACTGTGTAGTAGTGATTACAAGATTATTTAATATATATTAAAGATATAAGTTGCAGTAACAAATTTTTACAGAAATCAGAAAAAGAGAAAAAAAATTAAATGCTTTAAATAAAATAACTTATTTCACTCTTCAGCACCACCCATCAGCAGATACTAACGATAGTTATTGAAACATTTATCACAGTATTTAAATCACTTGCAATCCAAAGGCAATATTAATTTCACATGGTTTCCAAGCCAGCATTGCTATAGGTGTTTCTATTTGTTTTCAAGACGGATTCAGTGACTAGATTTATAATTTGTCTAACTATACCTCAGAAATTAGAATTTTTAAACATATTCAGATACATTTAACTTTACCTCTGCATTAACATTTTCATATAATTTTAAGATAAATTGTACAGTTTGCCGATTAAGTGACCATCAAATTAATGATTACTTCAGTAGTAGGAGGTTTATACCAAAGAGTTAATTTTCATATAAAAACCCATTGATTGCCGTGAGTTTATTTTTAAAGAGTTCCTTTTTTCATGTTTTTATATAAGTGTGATGCCTGACATATACTGGTCACTTGACATTCACTGAATGAATGCATGTTGTTGGTAATAGGAAGACAAGTACATTATAGACCATGTGGTGATTTAAGAATCTGAGCTTAAAGAATACACTTGTATAATTATAGTAAAAAATAAAACTAAATTCTACTCATTAAGGTGTGATTTTTATCCTTTCCCATTTTGAAGAATTGAATCAGATTTTGTAAAGTTTTTATTTTTTTCTGATAGATTAATACCCTGTAAAACTATCAAATATGGGGACACAAATAGTACTATAGTTCCAAGACTTTTGGAAATATGTTAAACCTCTGCATTTAAATAGCAAAGAAAAAAATATTTACTAATCTCTTTCAAAACACATACTAATGCTACAGCTGAGAAAAGTCCATTTTCTAAACTAATATCCCTTTTAGTGTTTTCCAAATAAACTTGCAAATAGGGCAAAATAAATTAAATCTAATAAAAATTTGGGGTGAGAAAAATAAGGTAGAAAGCAAAACAAATCTTAGGATAAAATACTGGATAAAATAGCAGCAGGTTTGTCTTCTGGAATAGAATGCAAATGACACCAATTTATTCCTCAAATTACCTAAGATCCAAGAGGGAAAATGTTAGTGTGCATAGCGATGACTAGTGTTTTATATTCTAAGTATGATTTGCACTTTTATGCAATTTCCTAAACAAGGAAAGTCAACAGACCTGTAACAGAGCTTTTTGTAAAGTTTTCATTCATTGTTTTAATTATTATGCACTTTTGACTTTGTATTACTAAGGTGTCCTTAGCCTCACTTAAGAGTGTCTTAAGAGTTTAGATGGCCACACTCATTTCCATGTGTAGTTGAGCCTGTGGTTATGGAAAACAAAATTAAGGTAGCTGATGTGTTCATAGATAAATTGGATGAGCATAAAGACTTGAATATAGTTATAGCATCATATAATTAGGAAACTTATTTTGCATTCTCTTTTATGGATTTTGAATCATTATAGTATACAGTGATCAGAAAATGTATTTTTGAATGTTTTTCTTTGGGGTTGTAGTGGTAGTATATCTACAACATTGGGAATAGGGATCTTAAAATTCTCAGGCTATATAAACAGTTAAGTTGATGGAGCTCTTTCCCGGCTAACAGCTACCCCTTATGATTTCTGTGAGAAATGAATCAGAATGATAACATAATTTTAAGAGTGAATCTTTAAGCAAACTAACAAGCCAGAATTGAATATTGGGCATCAAGTAAGAGCCAATTAACATATCTATAGTAAAATAAGAATATGTAATTATGTATTTTAATGTATGTGATCCCCAGGGTTTGTATTTACTATGAATTTCCCCAAATGTCTTTATTATTCTGAAAAAAACATTTTGAATTGAAAAGACTAAGTAGAGAGGCAGAGCAGAAGAATGAGAGAAAGAGAAAATGTAATCATTGGACTCATTAACCTTAGAAACAACTTTTTCCTTTTAGGCTTTATAATGATTCAATCTATATGTTATTAGGGCCTTTTATTAGCAAATTCAATTCCTACCTGGGTATACTTCAGAATACATTGTCTCTGCACCTCTCAGAACTGGAAATATTAACTTTATCTATCAATTATCTAAATATACACATATACATAACATTAATTTCATGAATCTTGGTATAAAACTACTCCGGGGCCGGGTGTGGTGGCTCACACCTGTAATCCCGGGACTTTGGGAGGCTGAGGCAGGTGGATCACCTGAAGTCAGGAGTTCGAGACCAGCCTGGCCAACATGGTGAAACCCCATCTCTATTAAAAATACAAAAAATTAGCCGGGCATGGTGGTGGACACCTGTAATCTCAGATACTTGGGAGGCTGAAGTGGGAGAATTGCTTGAACCCGGGAGGTGGAGGTTGCAGTGAGCAGAGGTCACACCACTGCACTCCAGCTTGGGCAACAAGAGTGAGACTGTCTCAAAAAAAAAAAAAAAAAAGCAAAACAAACAAAAAAACAAAGCCTTCTTCCACGATTTTATAATCTCACTTTCTATAATAGAAAATAAATGAGATAATATAAATACTGTTAGAAGGAAAGATGCATTTCTGTTGACTTTCTGAAGGCAATCAATCAGACAACCCACAGCTTACCTTGAAAACCCAAAACCACTTGTGATCATGAGCAAGACTTTTCTGAGTCAGATAAAATAAAAAACCCAAACTCGTGTCCCAATTTGCTGCACGTCTCTCAATGCTGCTTTCTCACAATTCTCCTGTGCCAATTATTTTCCCTTTTAAGAAGTTCCTGAATTGACTGTGTTGCTCATTATCTCCTATGTCTTTATTTTTGCTTAATTTCTACAATGGGTTTACCCTCCTTGGTTTCCTGAAGGAGATTCTGTACTGTTTTATTAAGCCCATCTGTTATTTCTCATTTCCTAAAAGAATTTGCCAGGATCAAGTGGGTACCAAAAATATGGCTTTTTATTTCCAAAAAAAAGTAAGCCCTCATATTTACACATTGTTTATCTTAGCTCACATTTTAAAACATTAAATCTTGAGTCAGTGGTTCTTAATGACAACTTCTCATTTGTCGTTTGTGATTAATTTGTGACTTCAGTTTCAGGAGTCATGGTTTTCTCCAGGTGAAAAATGTCAATCAAATTAGCTAATGTCTTAGTCACTGTTTATTCATCATTCTTTGATTAGTTGTTCTCCTACATTATTATTTCTATACTCAGGAGCTCTTATATTTATTTATTCATTCATTTCTTCATTTATTTGTACAAAAGGCCTTTAGCATTATTCTGGACCCTGTTAGGTAGTATTATTTCTCATGTTGTTATATTTTCCTTACATTCATGTATGTATTGCATAGGGAAATTTTGACCTACATATTTTAGTTTAAATTTTATTAAATTGAATCTTACCATATGGCTTATCAGTATTGGAATGTATTTGTTAGTATACTGTTTTCCATTCTCAACATTCAAAAACAGTGTTGTTTTTGTGAGCATCAGTCTACCATACCCTAATTCTAATTCAATTGGTTAAATGGTTGGTTTAAGGATTACTTCTTTTTGTCTGCTACTGCACAGAAATACATATTTTTTTCCCTAAAACTCTCATAGCATATAGCATATAGAACTGGCTCAGATCTAAAAACTGAAGACTGTTGTATTTTTAAGGGTTAAATTCTGTCTTATTTCAAGTAATTAAGTTAGGCTATTGGCTTTTGAATATTCATTTTTCATAATTTTATCCCAAATGCACACACATTGTGCCTGAGACAGAGACAGATTTGTTCTTTATTACTCACAGTAAATAATGAGTGCATTGTCTCCCCCATTGTTCTCATGCTTACTGCTGGGATGATGCAATGAGAATTCTACGTAATTCTCCCTACAAAAGTAGCCAGGTACTCTATAGGCAAGCCAGGCACTCTACAGGATAAAAGTATGCTCTGCTTACAAGGGGAAGGAGACAGTTTTCCCAAACTCCACCCGAAAAGATCTCCTTGGAAAAGTAATGGACCTGAGTCTTTATTCCAAACCTATAGTATGTAAAAAGATTTTCTGTAGCAGCCAGAAAGCTGAATGTGTCTGAGTTTTTAGGGCATAAAGACATCTTCACTTTCTGTGGCTTTATTCCTTTTGACATATAAATACATAGAGAAATAACTCTCTAGGCTCTTTCTCTCAAGGGCTTAACCTAGGGACCTAGTACAGGCTGTAACCATTTGGCTCTGTCTGGAAAGCAAGAGAAAAAAATGTTTATCGCTTCAAATCAATGGAATCTATTAGACACATGTCTAAAAATCTAATTCTCATGGTATGTGAAGTCTCAGGAGACTAAAATCTTTTGCAGTAGCAGAGAGGAATCCAGGGAAATGTATTTCCTGATATAGACACAAACTCATATAGCTTCAGTGCAATTTTCAATCTGTACATCAGACTTTGCTTTGTAAAAATACACCCAAAACATAGTACACAATGTCATGTTTGCTATGTCATGTCTTGGCTTGACCAATCTACATTGATTTTGGCTAATATTTGTTGAACTTAATTATGTATCTGCATTTTGCCTGTTTTTTCATGTATTCTCTAACTTCTCCTGAAGCCAGAAGTTTAGTATAGGCAAGTCCTTCCCATGGCAGTGGTAGAATCACCAAGTGACAAGCAAAAATTCCTCAAATCATTTGTATTTTGAGCCTTTGCTAAATATGGGCACACCATCACTTTCACCATTTTTTCACAGCCAAAGTAATTTAAATCGTTGAGCCTTGCATAAAAGGCATAGCACTGAAAACTTATATGGCATTTTCCCTGGAAGTGAGCAAAATAAGATATTAATTGATATGCAATATAGTAATGTAGATATTTAGGGGACGGTGGCAGATGGAGAAATTAGAGGCTTTGCTCACAAGGAACCAGTGTGTGATGTTTAAATTAGATTTCGGAGAAATAATCCTCATGGATAAAAATAAAGAGATGGTTGTGGTGATGTTGAGTGACAGTACAGCAAGGATATTTGATTCTTCTGTCATTTGTGTTATATGCACATATATGTGGTTATATTATTTTTTCAGACACACTTGTCATAGGTCTAAAATGAGGTTTTTAAAGTGCCGTGAATATATACACCTATTATGAACCCACACAAATTAAAAAAATAAAAAGTTCACATATATTTTAAAGTATACAAAATTAAAGTAACAGCATTATGATTAGGAAATAAATATATAAATGTGCAATGGTGAGACCATATATACAAAGAGAACTCTGACTGACAACCTCAACAACCAGCCCAGGAATCCAATCCACAACCTATGCAGCAATCAGCTCCAGAGGGTCTACACTTGGTCTAACTAATTTGAGTGCATTTTTGCTCCCCGCCTCCAGTTTTCACTTTAGGACCAACAAGAGAAAGCCAAATATACTGCACTAACTGATCACGTGAAATGACCTTCTTCTACTCTTAGCTTCTAGACATAAATCATCTCCACCTTCCCCAAGACAGTAACCTCCAATCAGAGTATACCTGATGGCTTCCCTTGTTTACACTATAAAGCTTTCTCAATTCTCTGTCTACATTTGAGTTTTTGCCAAATCAAAATGATGATGCTGACTCCCTTGCAAACTGAATGAATAAATAAGCTTTGCTTCTTTTCCCATGTGGGTAGTCTTCATTTATTTCCACAATATATTATCAAGACATATTTAAAAACACAGTAAAATTTTTCTTGCTTCAGAAAATCTAATTTTAAATGTAGTTTTGCAGATCTAGAAAACAATAGGTGAAAGTTATGCCAATAGAAAATGGGATGGGCATTTTCAATAGCATATCACCTTCTTAGATATTCAGAATAAGTCTTTCCTCCCATCCAATCAGACTTCACTGCAATTATACATTCTTGTAACTAAATGTCTCTCCTAAATTGTTGTAATGGTATCATGACTTGGAAAACTTTCTTCTACTCTTTAGTGTTAAATTATTTATTGTGGATATCTACGAAAAACAGTACAGTTTATGGAATCTTTCTCCAGAATATCTTAATTGTAGACTACATGAAATAACTTACCCCAGAATTTTCATTGTTTCACAACTAGTCAAGCTAGGGCACCACTCACCATAAGCAATAAATAACTAAATTTGACTGACAATGACCCATGAAAAGTTATCTAGGCCATACTTAGGGCAAAATCATAAGTTAGGCACAAAGAAGAGGTGTGAACTTCTTGCATTTTAAGGACTTCTGAAGGAAGAGATTTCATGGCTGAAAGTCACTCTAATATATAATAGCTCTCCCTAACAGGGAAAAATTCTTTGTGAAACTCTTTGTGTTGTATATGAGGATGTTGATTTTGAGTTTAATACAGAAATAGAGATAGGTTAGACATCTTTTTCTATGCCATTGTTACGTGCTAACATTTGTGAAGTAGGGAGTCAACTATTCTTGTTTTTCTTTTCCATAACTAGGGATTTTACTGCAAAATATTTTACTTATTATTTCTTCTCTGAAATATTTTTTGTGGGTTTCTTGAATTTATAAGCCTTGAAGAGACACAGAGATTTATAAATAAACTGTTAGAGGCTTAATAGAAATTATCTGATATTTTGCTCTTCAATAGCATATTTTACAGACTACTGCTGCTCATTTTAAACAATGTGACTTGATTAAAATATTTTTGTGCAATGTATATATGTATAGACATATATATGCAATGTATATAAATACATTATATATACAATACTTATTAATAGTGTCTGTGTCCCTTTTGGAATCAAATATAATACAAAAGAGGTATTTGTTTTCTATTAATTGCTGTCTATGTGCCAAAACATTTGTTACAACTATGGCTTATGGAATAACATACATTGAAGATAAAACAGATATTCTTTCAGAATTCAACTTTTTCATATGTAAAGCCTAAACCTTAAAATTTTTTCTCTTAATTTTTACTATTTAAACTATTTATATTTTGTTCTAGGTATAAAAGCCAGTGTGTCTTTTGAAAAAAATAGTACAATTTTAAAATTAAGAAATGTTTTTAAGTGACTTTACAATTTTTAACATATGTAAAGCTCTTGCAGTAGTACCAAGGGGCATGCTAGTGCTATATAAGTGTTTGCTATTATTATTAGTGTTAGTATGACTCTTATTAAGAACTATTTAGATAGAAATTTCAGAATAAGTTTTCACTAAATATAAGGTATAACATCATCAACATTTCAATATTATAACACTAGATTAAAAAGATGTGGCACATAATACTGTTACACCCACTTACAGGAGAATAAAAGTATCTCACTGCTACAAAACAAAACAAGGTTTATATCACAGTGGTTGTGGTCATTGTATTTAATCTTCGATGGTTTGTTCACAATTATTTTTATCAGTCTCTTCAGAATACAATTCTTACTTTAAAGTGAAAAGATTGCATTTGAGGTTGTATAATTGGTTTATACTCATTTGTAGTTAGGCTACATAGTATTAAAAGAAAAACAACTTTTTTGCAAACTTTTTAGCAAAGAACAAGAGATATTACTGGCCCTTGCTTCATGCAATAATTGGGGGCCTTGAAACTGTTATTGCCTTCGTTTATTTGCTTGAGTTTTTAAATGCTTTTTACTAACTGTGGTATAGATGCTAAGTATCCTAGTGGGCATGTTTGTATGCCATACCTCTGGAAGAAAACATATTATATAATTATATGAGTTCAACTGCTGTAATAATTTGCACACCCAAAGCCAGGACTCAGAGAGACAGCAAAGTTTACTGAAAGATCTAAATTCCACGGGGGAAAAAAAAAGGGGGTCTAATGGATGGCAAAGCATTATAGCCCATTATATTCTGGGAATGCTATGTAGAATATCCACCCCACTAAATTAGGACAAATAGTATTAGAAATTCAGGAAGAAAAGTGAGCATGTTACCAATTTTGTGTTTCTTGCTTCTTTTATGGTAAAACCTAGACATATTATATTATATTTGCAGCTTAACTCACTGTCTTTTACTCTTTCCCTAACTGCAAACTGTAATGTAAACAGTTTAAAATGAATGAGGTTACATACCGACTTGTCCTTGTATTCTTATGTGGCATTATTGTACCCAGGTTATGGATTCTGTCCCATAACACGTAACTGTCTTACACGTATATCAGATAACAAGCCATTTGAAAGGAGGGATACTTTTTTACATATTATCACAATATCATTTTGTAATCTTATATGCTTAATAGGTAAGACAATGAACATTTCAGGATTGCAAAATGGTAAATTGTATGAGAATGAGTACAATACAAGAATTCTGGCATAATACTAAAAGGACAGCTTAGTACAATTATGAATAATTCTTGGTAGGAAAATTGAGCCATTTAATGCAATACAATAAAAAACTTGGCTTGCAGACATGGTTATTTGCATTGTGGGAAGTAGTTTAGCAATTCTCCCAGAAGGAAATTATTTTTAGAAAGTGTGTGATAAAGTTAGTAAAGAATTGAATAAGTTAATGATTCATTCAGCAACTCTGGCAATGTTGCATAATCTATAGGCTACATATGTGTTTAGGTAAATAATAAAGAAACTTGGGATACCAAGTTGAAGGAGAAAGTGTATTATTCTTGCAGAAAAAAATTTCTATTCCATTCAACTTAATAATTGAAGCAAATGCAGCAACAAGAGCTGATGTTTATCCATTGATTAGTGTACTTAGTTCTCAAATAGAGTATCACAGATAAATTTATGTAAAATTGATATATGAAAAAGAAAAATGTCTGAAAAGAAATAGAAGTATGGCAACAATAAATCAACAAATTGAACTTCTAATGAAGGCACAGAAATTATAAAAAGAAAGGGAAAGTGTGGAATTTAAGAATACAATAAGTAAAACTTAAAAATCAACTAAGGTAAACCAGCTTTAGATTCGTAATGTCAGAAAAGAATTGATAAACTTAAATATAAATTGACTTTAAAATCATAAAATACAGAGAGAAAAAGCAAGTTTGAGCCTAAAAAATAAACAGAACCTCACAGACCTGTAATAAAACATCAAATATTTTGGCATAATTGCAAATGGAATCCCAGAAGATTGAAAAAAAGAGAAAACTAACTTTGAAATCCAATTTTTTCTTATTTTATTTATTAGTGGTTAATAAGTATGTGAAAAGATGTTCAACATCATTATTAATTAGGAAAATACAAAATCTCCAAGGAGATATTTCTGTATATTATTAGAATTGTTATACAAACAAACAAACAAAGTAAGGATGTAAAGAAACTCAAATCATTCTATTATTCTGAGGTTAATGTAAAATTGTACATCCATTTCAGGAACAGTTTGTTAGTTTCTTAAAATGTTAAATATAAATTTACCCTACAACCAAATATATATCCAAGAAAAGACAAGTACGCAAGTGTTTAGAATGTGTTACTGACAATAGCCATAAAAGTGGAAACAATTCAAATGCTCTTCAACTTGTGGAGGGATAAACAAAATGTGGTATATCAATACAACAAAATATTAAGCAAATTAAAAGGAATAACTACTGATATATATAGCACAACTTAGATGAATCTTAAAAATATTATTATGAGTAAAGGAACTCAGATCCAAAATAGTACACATTGTATGTTCCATTTATAAGAAAGCTTTAGAAAAGATAAATTAAAAGAAAAAGAAAACAGTAAAGCTCTTGCCTTGAGCTAATAAGAGAAGCAGGAGTTAAGTGAAATTAATACAAGGGAACTTTTGGGATAAGGAAATATTCCAAACCTGAATTTTGTTGTTAGTTGCACAACTCTACAAATGTATTAAATCATTAAATTTTAAACTTATGATGGATGAACTTTATGTTTTGTAAATCATCCATCAATAAAACTGTTAAAAAGTACTGAAATCATCATTAATAAGAGTATGAGGTCTAAAAAATGACAATGTCCATGGAGGATGGCATTGCGGTCATAGCCTGTGATTATCCATATAGTATACAACATATAGGAGACATAAAAGCAGTGCTAAATTATGAATTATTAGCCTTCTTATTGCTATTACACATGGAAGGTGAAGAGCTGGTGAGTCTTGAAACTGCATCCAATGGGCAGTAAAAACATGACCGTTCCAGAGGAAAGCACAGATCTTTTATTCAGGAGCAAAATAAATTTGTTTAAAATTACAGATATAGTTCTATAGAAGTATTGTATATGGTAATTCAATTTTCCTTAGAAGGATCATAAGAGAAATTTGCTATATCTTATAAATGCCTCACTATGGTTCTGAGGTTAATGTATATTGGCTGTAGATAACTGAAGGTAAAACAAATGTCAGAGTTTATTGTGGCCTGATTCCTCTCATCCAAGGCAGAAAAGGTTCTAAAAAAATAAGAAGTTTTTGTCTAATTAACTCAGCAGAAAATATTCTTTTTTTTTTTTTTTTTTTTTTTTTTGAGACGGAGTCTCGCTCTGTCGCCCAGGCTGGAGTGCAGTGGCGCCATCTCGGCTCACTGCAAGCTCCGCCTCCCGGGTTCACGCCATTCTCCTGCCTCAGCCTCCCGAGTAGCTGGGACTACAGGCGCCCGCTACCACGCCCGGCTAATTTTTTGTATTTTTAGTAGAGACGGGGTTTCACCGTGTTAGCCAGGATGGTCTCGATCTCCTGACCTCGTGATCCGCCCGCCTCGGCCTCCCAAAGTGCTGGGATTACAGGCGTGAGCCACCGCGCCCGGCCAATATTCTTACTTTAACATAGTTTTTCTAAAGAATATTAAGACCATCACATACAATGTATGCATTGCATATTTCCCTCTTTCCAAGCAGAAAGCCAGAAACTGGACAAAACACTCATTTTGTCAAACCATTTTATTGCTTCCTAGGGACATATTGTACTTATTGCCACAGTAGATACAAAATTTTTCTTATTTTAAAAACTGAAATTGTCCTTGTCTTTTTTTTGTCCTTGTCTTCCCATGTTGTAGAAAACAATTTGTTAAAGTTATCTTGATAGATTTCTTCAGACGAAGGAAAATGATATCAACTTGCTTATTACAGAGAATATATTGTCATAATCTGAGTTTGAATATAAATTTATTAAACATGTTCAGTTGTCTATGCCCAGGGAAGAAAAAAGAAAATTAAATAAATATGTGGGTTTCTGAGTATGTGTATATATCACCATCAGGAGACACCTGCCAGTAATTTTATTACACACTCCACAAATATTTTTTTATATGCTGGTGAGTTATGGCTGCTCAATGACGTTTAAGTATATTTTACAAAGAGATATGGAAGACACTGCCAACTGACATGAAACTCAACTAAATAATACAATTTGGATTGAAAGCCATCTGGGCACTGTAATTGCTCACCATAATGCAACTTAATAGAAAACAGTCAAGCTAGTACACAAAAAATAATTAATTAATTAATTAATTAATTAATTAAAAAAACAGACAACAGGTGTATTTATGCAAACTGTAGTGCAGAGAATGGACCATGTTAGAGAACTCATATGGAAAAAAAATGTCTGATTACTAAAAAGGAGGCTCTTTTGATAGGCTATAGTTTTAGAGCAATTAAATATTGAATTAGAGTTGTTAAAGTGTATTTAATAACATCTAAACTATGAAAGGGTCAGTAGATAGAGATTAAGTCATTTCTCTGGTAACAATTTCTCCAGTGCCAATAGTAACAGGCTCTTGTCTTCATCAAGAAATGAAAGAGACATATAAAGAATTATATGCAGTCAGAAATTCCTCAGTAGTCCCCCCCACCAAAACATTTATTTTATTTCAGGTAAGGCTGAATCACAACCACATCTGTAGAAAGAAGTAAGCACACTTCCAAAGAGTTCAATCCAGAGGTTCACCATTTGGGCAGGTTTAGCAGATGCATCTTGGAAAAAGACTGGTGAAGATGCCTGAAAGAAATATCCTCGGCAATTCCCGACATAAGAGAACACTGATTAGTAATGCAATCCTCATATTACCACCAAGAAAGAAGAACACAGTCCTGCTCTTTGCAAGGGATCAATGAATCCATGGGGGGATAATGTGAAAATTTTATTTTATTTTTCTTGTTTCCCCACCGCCCCCCACAGGGCTTGGCTGACAGCAGCCCACAATAAGAAAGTTAGGGAGATACATTCAGAATAAGAGTTTAGAGTTGGTGCCCAGAAGTTGATTAATTTGGATATAGTGAAAGGGCTAAACACTGTGCATATGTTCATTTGGGAAGAGATATTTGGGAATGTCTTCCCAAATGTCTCTTCCCACCTTCCCTCTACTGCTAAACCCAATTCCACTGGCCATCAGTATGAGACAAAAGAGAATGAAAAGAGAGATAGTCATCCAGAGGGGCACAGAAAGGACTTAAAGGGAACCAGGTTCAGGAAAAGGGAGTGGGAAGTGACGCGATCCACACAGGACATGGTTTCTTCATGGACTGTGGATGGGCTGTGTTGCTGAGTGAGAAAACCTGAGCCAGTCATAAGGGAAGGAAGAACCCTCACTTGAAAATCACCTTCTCAATAAATGATTTGAGAGTTCTGTGCCTATGTTTTTTGTTATCTTTTTTTGGAGGGAGAGCAAAGCACATTTAGAAAGTCAAAGACAAGGCAATATTAGGGAACAATAAGCAGAGATGAGGATATAGCACAATCTTATATTTTAGGGTCCATGTATTAAAATAAAGAGACCAAGTAATATTCTCCCATTAAGCACTGACCTTAAAATATATTGTTGCCAGAGAAAATAAATTATGAAATGAGACTGAACTATAAGAATGGTCATTGTTTGGTATTACCACACACTTTATTTCCTTGCCTTGATTCTTTTTAAATATATGGAGGCCCTTTTTATTTCTGATTGACTGAAGTACATGGAAAATGACAAATTCACTATACACTGGAATTAAGTGTTCTATGATTAGGACTGCAACATAGAAAAAGCTTAAAAGTTTGAAAAAATTTAGAAACATGATTTATTATTGTATGGGCAATAATATGGGAAAGGCTAGGCCTGAATGACAAATAATTTCTAAAATATCATCACGTTAATAAGATAGTCGTTAATTTTTTGTTCTGCCACTCTCTCTCCTCTACTGTATAGTTAAGCACTCTAGAACACTTGACCTACAAGGCTGCCAGTAGGCGAGGGAGAGGACAGATATTCCAAAGATGATTTTATGGCTTGTGCATGGAAAAGGTATGAATTATTTCTATCAACATCTCACTAGCTAACACAGAGTTATATGACTATCCAACAGCAATGGAAGCTAGAACATGTACTAACTTGTGTGCCCATGAAGAAAAGAAAAGGCATATTGGTGAGGAGCAAGAACATTTCCAGTTACAGCTATTTTAGAAAAATGTTTGGTTTTAAGAAAATAGATATATAAAAATAATATAAAATTTAACTATATATTTTAGTGGAAATTTGGAATATAAGTAATTGAGCCACATTAAAATTTTGAGTTATAAATTAATGTCAGAGTCTCCTTAATGTTAAAATCACACTAATTCTGAGTTCTTTAAGCACAGATAAATAGCAAACTCACATATTATCCTTGGATTCCTTCCTTAATATTTTCAGGAATTTCCCACTAGTAATATTTGTAGTCCAAAAAATCCCATTCTACCAATTTTATGCCATCTTTCTCTACTATTGAAGCACAGCACCTCTGGCTGCTTCTGTGTTTTTAAGTTCTCTTCCGCCCTTCTTGCTCATCATAATTCCATTCTGTAAGTCATATTTTCACGCAGTGGTAATTTGATTTCAGGGAAGAAGCAAATATCTTTCAAAACTGTCAAAAGTCCATGTAAATCAGGCTAGTACTTAACAAAGAAATAATAAAAGCTGGGAGGATACCAGATGTACAATTCTGAGGATAACCTAACTTGCCACTGGTGGTTCAAATTCTAAAATCCTGCATGCATTCCCTGCTTAGCTAGAGCAGGACACCATCACTGATTGGAAGAGAGAATGGTGCACTCTCTAGTCCACCCTCATATCTCTTCACATGGAACTCTTGTCCTCCAACTTTTCCTACCTCTGAAACAAGAACAGAAAATTTTCTCACATTACTCTGTTCAAGATAGTTCTATGCTTCCTGAAACCAAAATATACTAGGGCAACATGATGTACATAGCCTTCAATAATTGATAAAATGGAGCAGAATAATTCCTTAAGACAGAGGTGTCCAATCTGTTGGCCTCCCTGGGCCACATTGGAAGAAGAAAAATTGTCTTGGGTCACAAATGAAATACACTAACACTAACAATAGCTGATAAGCTAAAAAAAAAAAAAAAAAAGAAAAGAAAAGAAAACATCAAAAAAATCTCATAACGTTTTTAGAAAGTTTACAAATTTGTGTTGGGCTGCATTCAAAGCTGCCCTGGGCTACATGTGGTCCACTTGTTGGATGGGCTTGCTTTAAGAGGAAAAACAAACAAAAAAACCTGACAATAATTTTTAAGAGGCACAGATCTATTAATAAATGTATTAATAAATTATATTGTGATGCATCCTAGACAATGTCTTTATTATTAGATTTCTAAAGGGTTTTAAAAATGTTCTTATTTTGGGTATTTTTACATTTACCTATAACTTAAAAGTGTCACACTTGGAAATGAAAATTCAATGAAATAATTTCAAAATCTAATAGAAGTGGCAATGTGATGAAATGTTCTACATTAAATAAAATATTATATTTTTTATATTTGCAAATATATCTTATTACCTTTAGGTTAATGAAACTATCTTTTATTGAGTAATATTCTTATATATTTTGAAACATCCTATATATTTAATCTGCAGCAAAGTTTATAAAGAAAATCATAACAATAACATCTTTTTATAAGAATAAAATATCACAATTTTGAAATTTAAAATATGTTCAACATAATTATAAGAAAACAGATTTGAATAGCAACAAGATTATTTTTATTCTGGGGAATAATTTTATATTATATAAATGGTTATAAGATTTATGAAAGAAAGTATCAGTTTATTCAATATATCAATATGAGATCCAAAATTTATGGAATATATCTCAAAATCAAGCTTAATAATGAAATATATTTCAATTGTATATTACAATGTACTTTTGAGATTCTAAAAGAATATTGGCTGGTAAAGGTACCTGAGTAAAAATCTATTACATGCCATTTTTATAGTAATGGATTACGGGTGAGTAATTCATTTGACAACAGCCCCAGTCATCAATATTCTGAATATGATGTAGCAAACACAATTGAAATGTCAGAGCAAACAATCCAATAATGTAGTATTCTTTTATTTTTATTTAAAATTTAGCTTCATCAAGAAAATAAAAAGCTACCTTACATTTTCTGATAATTTGTAACAGTATTGCAAGTATATATTTTCAAAAAAGTTACACATTATTATACTTAGTGATTATAGTCATTAGGTTCTATTAGTTGGATTATATCCCAAGCGTTGTGTCAAAAGTTTAAGTCAATTCTTTCCTTGAGTATTTTATTCTTAAATATTTTTTAATAGGGCTTAAAAATGTTTGCTGTTCAAATACCTGGCTTTGTATTGTGATTCTTGCCATGACCTTATACAGTTTATCAGATAAATCTTTCTATCTTATGCCTGAACCATGAAAGGTGAGTATAATATTAACTAGCTGTTAATCTAACTTGTTATTCGATATCCTCTACTTAAATCACCATTTAAGAAATATGATTTAGAACATAAATTTAGAATAATTTTCCCTAAGTACTAATAGGTCTTCTTTTCCAGTAAACTACATAGCTTTTTAAGCATAGTATTTAGAATAATAAAGAGTGAGTTAAAATGATCATTTTTTTGTTTCTAATTCATAACTACATAATTTTTTGTTATTTAATCAAATTATTCAACCCGATCAAGATACCATGTTTCATCTAGAATTAATAATAGTATACATCTGCTGAAGACTTCGTAAGTTTTAAATTTAAAACACTATGTGATACAACTCTCTAAATTTCAAATATCAATTCAAATGTTAGTAATTATCATATTTGTAATAAATTAAATGATTATGGTTTGCACCAGGCATCAATGAATTGAAGTCCAGTCAGGCTGCTTGTTTCTATCAATAAAATTTAATTGGAACACTGTCATGACAAATTGTTTACATATTGTCTATGATTGCTTTCTTGCTACAAAAGCAGAACTGAGTAGTTACGGCAGAGACCATGCAGCTTGCAAAACTGAAAATATTTATTCTCTGGCTGATTATGAATTAATTTATTAACCTCTGATTATGCTATTAATTATATAAATGTTTTAGTTTTTGTCATCAAGACTGCTGGACTTATAAATGTCATTAAAACAACAGTGCCTTATGTCCTATTTTTAAAACCTTCAATTATTACATTGGTCTATAAGCATGATTGTTTTTATTACTTACAACATTTGGCTCAAAATATCACTGTTAATTAGCATGTATGTTATCACAAGTTCATAGATTTTTTTAAGTTTTTTTTGTGTGTGTATGTGTGCGATTAATATAAAAAGATCAGTGCTTCTTTCTAGTCTTACAAGCATGGATGAATGTAACCAAGTTAATAGCATATACATATATAAATGTATAAGCTTATATATTTATACCTATATATCAAATGTCACATATCACATATCATTCATAGATAGATAGATATGAATATTTTCATGTTTCTGCTGGGAATTTTTAGTTAAGACTTTAATTTCTGAATTTATTTTATTTTATGTATGTATGTATGTATGTATGTATGTATGTATGTATGTATGTATGTGCTTACTTTCTTATTTTTGTTTCCAGGGCTGAGGATGGTAGTCCCATCTTCAACCATTTTCTCTGCTTGTCTTCAGTGATACAACTCTCTTCAGGCACTCACACTGCTTCCTGTGGATTAAGGCAGACATAGATCTCCTACAAGGGAACTGAACATGATGGGGAAGCTGGTTGTTCACCTTCATCTAACCTTTTACGGTGTAGAAACAGTGAGTTGGTGGGAAATTTTCTGCACTCTTGGTGCTGGGCAGAATGAGGGCACAAGCATCATGGATGTGCAAGTCCAATTCGCTTACCATCTGCTCAGAGATTTTCACTTCTCTGTGACCCCACAAACTACCCTTTCTTCATATTTGAGCCCTTGGCTATTTCTGGTAATAAACTCAATGCTGTATATTTGGTTTTGGTTTTCTTTGTGGAGAAAGAAGACCGTTTTCTTCTATGCTGCCACTTTGGAAACCTGAATTTATTTTACTAATATTCTTCCATTTGAGTTGAGTTGTGAAAATGTTTGGAATCTCTTGCTATTTTATATGCAAAGTACATCTATGTACTTTGCTATAGTCAGTTTTGCTATAGTCAGTCAGTTTTGCTACAGCACAAAATATGTGTTATTATGCAAGACTGCACAGAGAAAACTAGAGGGCTTATGGAATGATGCTAAAAACTTAGTAACACACATTTTTAAAACGCAGAATCCTAATTGAGAGTCACAGAATTTTACATATGACCATTTTTTAATAAATCCATAATACATAGAAAATACCTGAAGTTTACTTGTGGAAGGATTGCAGCTTGTGAGTTATTCTGAAGTGATGGATGGATGATAATCTGAAATGTGATGGAATGTTATACTATAAGATCATGTGACACAATGGTAGTGGTAGGTGTGTAAGAGGTATGATGTGTGTATTTGTGTCTATGTGTGTCTGTGAATTGATTTGGTTGTGAGCAATTTTCCACATTCAGTTTCCCACACATGAAATAATGCATAAGAAAATGTGAAATTTGCATTAATCTAAAATTGTTCATTAGTGTATCAATTGCCTCAGAATAAATTTGTATTTATAAGCAAGTGTTACAGCAGAGCTTAATATACATGGAGATCATTTCTCAATCTTTTCTTTCTTTGTTTATGCTAGTAAACTATGATACATCATACATACATGAACATCTTTCTTCTTAAGCCTACAGTCTGGAAGTAATTCCAAGGCATGATGTCCTAGATTACCTTACCCAAATTCTTTACTTCCATACTATCCAGCAGTTAAATAGTCTCCTAAGCAGAATAAATCCCTTTGCCCAAAATGAAAAAGAATGAGAATTTAAAAAGCCCTAATAGCAAGTCTTTGAGAGGACCTAGTCTGTAAGATCACAATTTTCATGGCTAAACAAAATAAATCTATTATATTCCAGTTTCATTGATTTTTCTCTATGATCACATATTATTTATTATTTCTCTACATCTATTTGAAAAGGTTTATTTGGTAGAATAGTAATTACAGAGTTATGTGATTTATTCAAAATTATATATTTTATTTGCTACAAAAATAAACATTTATTTACAAAATTATATTTACATAAAAATACACTGTACCAGCATTTTTGCAAAACTCATAAAGTTTGTTTTAAAAAAAAAAACCCTTGTCCACATTGTGCCCTCTGTTACACAATTTGGTGCAAATAAATTCCTAGAACGCTTAGAAAAATTTCTCCTATCCCCAATATTAGCCTCACATTTGTTCTTCCCAAATCGAATTTAGAGAGTGAAATGATGAACAAAGAATCAAAGTTGTGCTCACTTTGGCAGCACATATAATAATATTAGAACAATACAGAGAAGACTAGCATGGTTCCTGCACAAGGATGACACACAAATTCATGAAGCATTCCATATTTTTACATCAATAGAGAAGCAGAGAGCTAAATTATAATGAAATCCCATTCACAATTGCTAAAAAGAGAATAATATACCTAGGAATATAGCCAACAAGGGAAGTGAAGGGCCTGTTTAAAGAGAACTACAAACCGCTGCTCAAGGAAATAAGAGAGGACATAAACAAATGGAAAAACATTCCATGCTCATGGATAGGAAGAATCAATATAGTGAAAATGGCCATACTGCCCAATGTAACTATTAGATACAATGCTATTCCCATTAAACTACCATTGACATTCTTCACAGAATAAGAAAAATCTAATTTAATATTAATATGAAACCAAAAAAGAGTCCGTATAGCCAAGAAAATCCTAAGCAAAAAGAACAAAGCTGGAGACATCATGCTACCCAACTTCAAACTATGCTAAAAAGCTACAGTAACCAAAACAACACAGTACTGGTACAAAAACTGACACATAGACCAATGGAAATAAAAGAGAACTCAGAAATGAGACCACACGTCTACAACCATCTGATCTTCAACAAACCTGACAAAAACAAGCAATGGGAAAAGGATTCCTCATTTAATAAATGGTGTTGGGAAAACTGGCTAGCTATATGCAGAAAACTGAAAGTAGACCCCCTTCCTTACACCTTATACAAAAATTAACTCAAGATGGATTAAAGACTTCAATGTAAAACCCAAAACTATAAAAACCATATACAAAAATTGAGGCAATACCATTCAGGACATAAGTACAGGCAAAGATTTCATGAAGAAAACACCAAAAGCAATTGTAACAAAAGAACAAATTGACATATGGGATCTAATTAAACTTAAGAGGTTCAGCACAGCAAAAGAAATTATCATCAGAGTGAACAGGCAACCTAAAGAATGGAAGAAAATTTTTGCAATCTATCCATCTAACCAAGGTCTATTATCTAGAATCTACAAGGAACTTAAACAAATTTAAAAGAAAAAAAATCCCATTAAGAAGTGGGCAAAAGACATGAACAGGCACTTTACAAATGTTGGACGTTTATGCGGCCAAAAACATATGAAAAAAAGCTCAACATCACTGATGATTAGAGAAATGCAAATCAAAACCACAATGACATACCATGTCATGCCATTCAGAATAGTGATTACTAAAAAGTCAAGAAACAACAGATGCTGGCAAGGCTGTGAAGAAACATGAACACATTTACATTGTCAATGGGAATGTAAATTAGTTCAACCATTGTGTAAGACAGTGTGGTGATTTCTCAAAGACCTAGAACCAGAAATACCATTTGACCCAGCAATCCCATTACTGGGTAAATACCCAAAGAAATGTAAATTATTTTATTATAAACAAACATGCATGCATATGTTCATCGCAGCACAATTCACAATAGCAAAGACACAGAATCAACCCAAATGCCCATCAATGATGCCCATCAATGATAGAAAATGTGGTTTATATACACCATGGAATGTTATGCAGCATAAAAATGAATGTCTTTTGCAGGCACATGAATGGAGCTGGAAGCCATTATCCTCAGCAAACTAACACAGAAACAGAAAACCAAACCAACATTTTTCTCACTTATAAGTGGGAGCTGAGCAATGAGAACACATGGACACAGGAAGGGGAACATCACACACTGGGCCCTGTCAGTGGTGAGGGCAGGCAGGGTGAAGGAGAGCATCAGGATAAATAGCTAATGCATGTGCAGAGCTCAATACCTCAGAGATGGGTTGATAGGTGCAGCAATCCACCATGGCACACGTTTACCTATGTAACAAACTTGCATGTCTTGCATATGTACCCCAGAACGTAAAATAAAAAGAAAGAATTTTTTTTTAAAAAAGAATCAAAGTTACTCATTTTAATAAAAATATGTCTGCTAGCTTAGATCAGTTCTCACTCTGAGTTATTACAAATAAAAATGAGTATTTGGAAGACAAACTAATCCAAGTTCCACTTGACTTAGAGCCTTTCCTTTGAAAGTTATCTTTTGCATTAAAAACAACATTAATGAATTTTCTTTGTAGACTAAAAGGCTTGAAGAATCAGTTGGTACTTATTAGACACCGAGCCTTTTTCAAGACAACTGTTCAATTTACCTAGGTTTCATGCTCTGCATCACATTTACCTCTTCATAGTGATTACCATATATATATAACCATACATATAATATATATTATCATATGTACAGTATATATTATCATATATATTACCATGGTATACATATTACCATATGGCATATACATGCATATATAACATATATAGTATATATATTTTACACATATATAGTGTATATATATTACCATGTTATATATAGTATGTACATATATATTACCATATATATGGTGTATATATGGTATATACATAGTATAGTATATATTATATATATACCATATATAGTATATACCATATATATACCATATATAGTATATACCATATATAGTATACATACCATATATAGTATATAGTATATACCATACATATATATACCATATATAGTATATGCCATAAATAGTATATAACATACATATAGTATATATACCATATATAGTATATACCATACATAGTATATACCATATATATACCATACATATATATGGTAAACACTATGAAATATAACTAGTTTACATGAACAACTAGATCAATAGGTAGTGCAAAAATAAAAATAATTTACTCAAGCATATCTGTTTATGACAAACATGG
Source organism: Homo sapiens (assembly GCF_000001405.40). Lineage (NCBI taxonomy): Eukaryota > Metazoa > Chordata > Mammalia > Primates > Hominidae > Homo > Homo sapiens. The sequence continues at coordinate 131,276,041 of NC_000004.12, forward strand.
CACTGCATAGAAAAGAAGATATTTTCAATGTTGCTGAGTCATTTGAGTTTCCATGAGTGTGAAAAAAGGAAACAAATTATATATAATACGTCACTTATCATATATCATAATATATAATACATACATAATATTTAATGATACATAATAATATATAATGTGTACATATACATATACATAATACATAATAATATATATGTTATCATGTATAATATGTATATATTTATACATATTATATATGATACATAATATATATGTATAAATATATTATTACATATACCTATATCTCTCTCTCTATAGGTGTATATATGTATATATACATATATAGTATACCATATTAGTATAGCTATAGATGTGTATATATATAGTATATATAAAAATATATATAGCATATACCACATGTATATATGTTAATCACTATGAAGAGGGAACTGTATATATGAGAGAGACTTTGCAGACACCTTAAATTTGAACTGCAGAATTGTGAATTTTTCTTAAGAAATACATAATGCTGCGTATCTTTTTTATTTCTTCTTACTATCTAACCAAATAGTTACTGCAATGTTTTAATGTGTATGAAAGTCAAAGTCTACTCATAAATATCATTATATAATTAAAGATTTTATTTAAGGACACAGGAACAAAGAATACTCTATGACATGACATGTAAAGAAATGGTCAACTAAAGAAAGTGCTATTTGATTATTTTTGTAATCAAATGGATAAAGGTAATAAAGTCACTTTTTCTTTAGTGTATTCTCTACTTCAATTAAAAAATAGCCATAGCAGTTTCTCCCAACATATTTAAATCATAAGACTTTTAAAAATATGTTCTACTTAATAATTACACATTAAGATTAAAAATTTTAATGCTTCCATAAGAAATGTTTCTATTATAAGTAATATCAAATATGTAAATTGCTGGAAAATATAGCTAAAACACAAAGCTGCAAAAGGCTTATCTCCTAATATAGAGTTATAACTAGACATTCAATTATACATACACTAAAATATTTTATGATCATTTTGGAAATGAGAAAGTAATTATTTTTAATTGTATTCTGAGATGTCTTTGCAAATTATAATATCTACATTAGATACTAAAATTAATATTCGTTCCAAACCATCTGGCAAATTACAAATTCAAAGACTTTTTCTTGTCTAGCCATATACCTGATTGGAAGATTATTAGATACATATTTACTTTATATAAAACTAGAAAATAATACTCACGACTTACAGGGATATAACTACTGCCTCCCAATAAAATGTTAACTCGGAAACAAGGATTTGCAGTTTAGGAGTTCTAAAGAACATAAAAATTTATATGTATTCATTTGCTGAATAATACCAAGCAGTAAACAATTTGTCATAACTTCAAACTCAACATAATTAGTTACTCAATGTGTTAAGTTCTGAACATTGTATGAGTAGAAAATAAATTTGAAAATTGCCACTAGGAAATTTGGAACATCAACTGATCTTTTAGTTGCCATAGATTTCTAGTAATAGTGGTAAGTCATGAAATCTGGCGTATTCTAACCAGTTAGAGTTTTATGGGTTGATACCCAGATGAAAATAATAGTAGGGACTCTTGAATATTAAAAGCGCTTTATTGCTAATACTCGAAGAACAGAGAAATTCATAGGTAATTTGTCGTTTGGGGAGTAATCATATAATTTTAGTCCACACAGGAATACTTTTGAGAGGGAAAAGGATTATTATTAATTCTTGTGATGGAAAACAGGCAGTCTGTATAGTCCAGGGTCAAATAGAATATAACGTCTTACTTTCTACTGGAGGAGTGCTCAACAAGACACCTCATGAATCACTGTTCTCTGTATCTTCAAGAATTACCTTATGTAGTCATCCATAGAGATTACAGTTTGATCCCATCTTTAAAAATTTTTTCCTGAGCCACTTTCAGGATGAAATGAGATTAATGTTACCGTTAATATAGCATTTAGACAAAAGGATGCTTATTATTGAGTATTGCCATTTAGTTGTGAGTCATTAAAGTATTTTTTTCCGAGTGTTATTATGACTTCTTCAGTTAATTTGCTCTCTGTTTCTGGTTTCTAGCTAATTCTCTCTTCTAGTACTTTTTCTGCAATAATTATTGTGGCCATTTTACAAGAAACATAAATGCATTTTATCTAATACAAAACTGATGGGAAAAACAAATTCTTCTGTGGATTGCCCTTTTTGTTATGCTCTTTGTCTAATTAATTATAATAAATTCTATTTTGGAGAGATAACAAATTAGCAGCTCTCCTGAAGAAATCACTTCTCATAAAATGAATGAATTGGATTTCCCCGTATATTCTTTATTTGATGGCATAACATATTTATTTGAGTTAAAGTCAGCCTTTTAAACAGTTTATTTAACTCGTTTGACTGACTGACTATACAAATGCATATACATATAAGTTTTCTGTAGGGAAAAGCCTAACACACAGAAGTGTGTAACTGTACAGCTTAATAAATTGTGAAAAGTGAACCATTACACAGATGAACGAAGAGTTGTACGTTGTACCAGATCCCCCAAATCCAGCTCATACTCATTCCCTATCAGTATCACTACTCTCCAATGGAAATTACTATTTTGACTTCTAAACAGATACATAAAACATCACCTTAAAATTTATTTTTATGTAAATTAAATTGTACCGTATATTTCCTTCAGCTTTTTTTTTTTAATTAAACTAAACATTATATCTTGGTAATTCATATGTGCAATATAGTTTGTTTTGTAATTAAGCTGTCTTGACCCTGATTTGAACCCCTGGCTAGAGAGCAGCCCTTTCCCCTTCTTGAGCCCTTGATGAAGTCCACACTCTAACTGCTTCCTGTATTAGATTCTCTAACTCTGGGAATGCATGCACTGTAATCATCCCAGGGCCAGGTTGCAGACAACTAAGGACAAACCAAAGCCCCAGAGCCCACTGAAATTATTTCTATTAGATAATCCACAGGGACCCCACCAAACCCAGCTAGCCCTAGCCATTTGAGGTACATGAGCTGTTCCTACAGCTCAGCTCCAGTTTACTGTCACTCTGACCCCCAGTGCAACCTCTGAGAGGCTCTGCCCTGTAGCCTTCTCAAATTCAGAGTTGTAATTAACAAAAGATCTGCCTTTCATCTATCCCAGTGTTACTGTGTTACATCTTACCATCAAAATAATCTTAGGTCTTATAAAACACTCTGGTTACATGTAGATAAAGTTTAATCTTTCTCATGCAGTATTGTATTTTAAGAATTTGCTAAAATTTAGTTATAATAGTGATGCATGATTTCGTTGTTTTTATTTGGGGCAACTAAAAATAATTCTACTAAGCACATTATTATACATAAAATTTTGGTACATATGTGCATATTTGTGATATAGACCAGGCAATAAGGTTGCTATACTGTATCACCTTGAGTAGTAAACTTGCTACACATTTTCCCAAGTGAGTTTTTAAACAATTGTCACTCACATAAGCTGATGATAGCTGTTATTGCTTCATGTTACTTTGTATTCATAATTTCCTCAATTCTCAGGGGACCAGGTATTAGTGTCTCACACTGGTTTTAATTTACAATTCTCTGATAACTAATGCAATGTGCCCCTTTTCATGTCTTCATATATTACATATCATTTATGAAGTGCTATTTCAAGTCTGTCAACCACTTTTCTATTGAAATTTTTGTCTTCTTCTTATTTTCTTGTAGTTATTTTTGTGTAAACATGTAGCCCTTTCTTGAGTATAAGTATTACAATTATGGACTCACTCTCCATGGCTTACCCTTCCCTTTTCATTCTTGCATTAATATTTACAAATGAACAAAAATTCTTCATTTTAATGTAGGTCAATTTATCATTTTTTGTTTATAGCTTGCCTTTAGAGTTTTGTTTTAAAGAAATATTTTATTTCGTTAAAGTCATAAAAATATTCTCACATGTTATCTTCTAGAACCTTTATAATTTTAATTTTCACATTCAGGTCTTCGGACTTGAACACAAAACAATATGAAATTAGTTTGTGTTTATTATACCATAAAAAATAGAAAGTGTAATTTGTTTTCTGTTTTCACGCTCGTGGAAACTCAAAAGACTCAGCAACATTATTGAAAATATCTTCTTTTCTCTTCGATGTAATAATATGATTGTTATAAAACAAATATGCTTGTGTAAATTATTTTTATTTTGGAACTTCTTATGATCTAGTTGTTTATGTCAATATAATATTTTAATAACAATAATTTATAATATGTTTTGAGCTCTAGTAACATAAGCACATCAATGTTTTGTTTTACATTCCTCTTTTTGTCTTTGGTTGTTTCTATTTAAAAATAATAGACTTATCAATTTATGCAACCATATTATTGATATTTTTATTGAATTCTTTTCAATTAATAGATCAATTTGGAAAGACTTGATGCCTTTACAACATTGAATATTAAAATAAATTACTGATATTCAACATTTTATGATGCATTAAAATATTTTATATAATTCAACTTAATACTTTAATTTGTTTGGAATAAAATAATTTAATTTATCACACTGATGGTCTGTGGACTTCTGCATAGACAACTCACATATTTTGCTAAGTTTTTCTGGGATAGTTGATGTTTTATGATTTTAAGGTCATATCTATTTTTAAGTTTGAATTTGTTACTGATATGTATACATGTACAGGTGGTCCCCAACTTATGAAAGTTTGACTTACAATTTTTCAACTTTATAATGCTACAGAAGCAATACATAGTCAACACTGTACTTTGAGTACCCATATAACCATTCTGTTTTTCACTTTCAGTAGAGTATTCAATAAATTACATGAGATATGCAACATTATATTATAAAACAGGCTTTGTTCCAACATAGGCTAACGTAAGTGTTCTGAGCCTGATTAAGGGAGGACAGTCTAATCTTCTGCAGGTTAGGTGTATTTAATGCATTTTTAACTTAAGACTTTTTTACTTAACAATTGCTTTTTCAGGACGAAATGCCATCATAATTTCAGGAGCATCTGTAATTGAATTGTCTGTGTTGGTCTTGTATCCTGCAATGTGCTCATTTTCCTTTTGAAATATTTTAATTACCCATAGAGGCACTGAGATTTTCTACATGTAAGAAAATGCAGTCTGGAAATAATGACAGTTTTAATTCTTCCTGCCAATCAGCATATACTTTTTCCTTGCCTTTTTACACTATCTATGACCTCCAGGTCAAAATTGAATAGAAATGTTGACACTGGCCATCCTAGTCCACTGGAAAAGCTTTTACAATTTTTGACATGAATATGTTTTTTAGTGTAAGATTTTCGGTAGGTATCCTTTATCAAATGGATGTTGAATGTTATAAATTAATTTTCTTTATAAAGCAAATTGAACATTACTGTTTACCTTGTTCTTCTAATTTGCTGAATTAAATTATTTTAAATAAAATACAACACGCATTTCTGGAATAAACTCAAGTTGGTTACAATGCATTATTCTTTTCTACATTACTAGATTATTGTTAGATTGTTTTGATACTCTTTTATGAGAATTTCCATTGAGATTTGTGATGTTACATTATATTTTGTGCTGTCACATTATATTTTGTGCTGTCTGCCATATTTTAGAATCTATATTATACTGGCCTCATAAAACATTTTCAGAAATATTTTCTTTATTTTTCTGGATAAGTAGATAAGAATACTGTTTTTTTCCTTGCTTAACTTTTTAAGGAAAGACAATAACTCCACTGGTACCCTATAGACTTCAATTTCAACTTCTTTTTAAGTTATAGGATACTACCTACATATCACATTTTCTGTATGTTCTTGTGACACTTGTGACAGATCATGTTTATCCAAGATTTGATAAATATGTTGTTTATCAAGTGTGAAGTTTGTCAGCAGATATATTGTACTGTATTCTTTTTAATATATGAAAAATTTCCCCTTTTACTCATGATGTTAATTATCTGTTCTTTCTTTTTATATATAGTACATTCATTGTGTCTTTAATCAATTTTATTAGTTTTCAAAAAGTTAAATTTTATAAATTTATACATTATATTGCATAAGTTTTCTATTTTACCAATTTCTGCTCTTAGCTTTGTCTTAGTGCATTTTCTCACACAGTAAATTAAGCATCCTAGTAGAAATCGCCTCTTAAATATTTTTTTCTTTCTCATCTCTGTCCAGAATTTGTGATTTGTCTTCTTAATTTTATTATGCACACTGTTTTCAAACTGTACTTGTAATAAAAATTCAATCATGCATGTATTACTCTATTCAAATCATTTGATTGCTATTTATTGTCTATTGAATTTTTTTAGCATGGCACACTAGACCTTGAACTATGCCTTAATCATCTAACATATTTTTTACATCATTAGCCTTGTCTAACTACTTAACATTAGTAACTTACAGTAGTTACTTATCATTATTTTAAATGTTTTCTTGCTTTTAACATATCTGAAAAACCACTTTCTTTCTACTTGGGATAATACAAACATTTCCTATTGCTTTTGAGTCCTGGCCTTCCCTGACTTATTGAGACTGAATGTTGTACCCAACACCAGGCTTTTGTAGAACCCTATAGATAAATATAATCAGAGTACTAATACACTGTGCTTTAATTTTTGATTTTCTTGTCTGAATTTCCCAGTAGAGACTGATTGTACTTACCTCTCTGCCATGATTTGAATGTGTCCCCTCCTGAATTCAAGTGTTGCCAATGTGATAGTATTAGGAGGTGGTGTTTTTGAGAGGTTATTAGGCAATGTGGACTCCTCCTTTCCTAAACTGGATAAAGGTCCTAAAAAAAGAAGCTTCCCGCAGCATTCTGGAAGCTTGCTCTCTCCCTCTTCTGCCTTTGGCCAAGTGAGGACACAGCATTTCTCCCATTTGGAGGATAGGACACCAAACCTGCCCATGGCTTAATCCTGAATTTCCCAGCCTCTAGAACTGTGAAAAAATAAATGTATGTTCTTTATAAGTTTCCTAGTCTCAGATATTTTGTTGTAGCAGCACAAATGGACTAAGACATTATTCTTATCTCTTAAAATAATCAGGGAGATAGGTCAGGCTCCTCAAATATTTTTTTAGGTGAATGAATTAATAAATAAATACATTTTTAGAATTTGAATACATAAAAATACTGCCATTATATTTTGTTATATTGTTTTCCAGAATTCATTACAATATTATTTTTGTTATTTTATGATACTTGCTCAATTCATACTTAATATAATTTTAAAAGGGGGTGAAAATTTCCAATTTTTTAAAATACTTTTTTGGAGATTAAATTTTAAATTGGCCATTTCCTGAAGATATACAAAAATATGTTTTTACTCTTGGAGTGAACAATCCTCAAACTATAATCTATGTGTGTTTATTTTATTTTTGTGAAAGATTTATCTTTTTGGTGGAGTCCAACTTTACAGTGATTTTAGAATTATCTCACTTTTTAAACTCTTATTTTTACTGTATATACTCACAAGAGGGGCTTGAGGCCAGTCAAGCTTTCAGAAAAAAGATGCATCCCTAACTATTATAGACAGTATGATAGATAATGAATTATATTATTACTTATTTATTATTTTATCCAAAAGGCTCAGTTCACTAAAGACTGTCTTAGAATTAATTGATAAAATTAATTTGTTAAATGTAAAACTAGAATACGTGTTATAGAAAACCAAGAAACTGTAAATTCTAAGAAATATCAAAGATTGTTAATAATTTCAATCACTTACAAGTTAAATACTAATGACTGTTCAATAATACAACAAAATATTAAATGAGCTAAATTTGCTTAGTTTAGACATTTATTTTCCCCTAATGGTTTTTCTGGTATAAGGGTGTGTGTGTGTGCCTGTGTGTGTGTGTGTGTTTGTGTGTGTATAATGTATGTGTGTGTATAGATGTATATACAGACATATATACACGTATATATACACGTATACATGTACACTTGTATATACACGTGTATATAAACGTGTATATATATGTATATGTGTGTGTCACATTTATATACATGACACGTATATATACGTGTATATATACGTATGTGTGTGTGTGTATATATACGTGACACACACACACACATATACATATATATATTGCTCTAAGAACCTAAACTATCTTCATTTTACTGACTTACTGTCCCTAATATTTCAGATAAACACATCCAGGAATAAACATCAGCCTCTTTTTTTAACTGAAACTATAATTATATTATGTCATCTTTTTTAGCAAAAAGCTTCTGTTTAAGTGCACTGTCTGATTATCTGTGTTGCATTATAGATTAAATATTATGTCCCATCACAAGAGAAACAATAATTCATTCAACCTGTTTTTACGTTTTCCATTATATTAAGTATGTGCATTTTCCATTCTCACTGTCCATTTCATTTTTATTCCAATATAATGATATTGAATAATCAATAGTAGTCAGGATTTAAATCAAAAGCTGTATTTTAATAAGTATATAATACATTGACCATTTTAATTTTGAATCCAGCTCCATCTCTAATCTTTTTTACAAAATGAAAAGAGCAGGAAGAAGTAAAGAAACCAGATTATCATTTAACTGTTAAAAACACAAATAGGTTTAAAAAGTACAGAAACACCAAAGTTAAAAATATTTAAATCAGAATATACATTTCTTCTTGCATATAAATGTTCTACTGCAATGAATTTGCTTTGGAAATTTTTCTTCCCTTGCCTCAATATAACTTACATGTAGTCATAAATTATTATCTTCCTTTTCCAATCCTTTATGGAAGAAAATGTTCGATGCCTCTTCTCTCAGATCATATAATTTCATTTTGTCCTCGGTTATTCACAAAATCTCAAAAATTGAAGTCAAGTTTATCTCTTTTCCTTATGGATAAATAAGGCCTTACTGATATCATATTTGGTTTTGGATTACTGCAAAGATGGCTACATAGGAATAGTAAAGAATACATTAAACTAAAAATTATAATTGGAACAATTTTGTAGCAATTATTTCAACAGTTATCTACTCACATGTAGATATAATATGAATGTTCTATGTAAATCTCACCATAGCCAACATTAGTTTAATAATTCCAAGTCTTATGATATTGTTAAATAAAAGTTTTTAAAGACTTTACTTGCATTTACTAACGTTTTAAATTCTTTGTAACTTACTAATTTATACTTTGATGTTATTAGCAGAGTGTAGTAAAAAGGTTTTGCACTTGAGTTTAGAACTTCAAGAGCCTGATACTATTTCAAGCTCATGCCCTACTAAGAATTTGATTTGAGGCAAGTCACTTAAATTTTAAAATCACAATTTCTTCAGCCATAAAAGAAAGTTGAGATATGGATTTTTTTGTTAATTCTCTGAACAATTTTATGAACTATAGAATCCTCTGGTATCAGAGGATTGATGTTGAATAGTCCTATTAACACTAATAAGACAATTGGGTATATTACAGTTAAACTCAATTTTGACACTAACTGTACAGAGCTACTGCAGACCCTACCAAGTTAAGAGTAAAGTTCTTCATAAGACTGCCATTACTTCAAACACCAGTCACAAGTCTTGGAGATCATCTGTACTACTGACTGACCAACCATAAATTTGGAGCTTATCACAATCTGCTTAGGTTTGGCAATTTGATAGAATGACTTGTGGAATCTGACAAAAGCACATACTTATAACTGTAGTTTTATTATAAAGGATACATACTAGGAACACCACATGAAGAGACATATGGGGAAGGCTTTCAGAAGGTGGAAGTGGAGCTTCTATGTCCTAGCCTCATAAAATCCAGGTAAGTCATCACCCAGCACATCAGTGTGTTTGCCAACCAGAAGGGTCTACTGAGCCTCAGTGTTCAGAGTTTTTATGAAATTTTCACTAGATAGGTATGCTTAACATAATTATTGACCACATGATTGAACCAAAGCTTCAGCCCTGAAGGTTGGGATGGTCCAAAGTTCCAACCATGTAATAACATGATTGGTCTTTCTTGTGTTCATCCCTGATGAGGAAGGTATCGAAGAGTTCATCTTAAGGTACCTAATTAACATAATAAAGACATTTTTATCACCCAGGTATTACAAGTATTTTGAAAACTTACCAGGAACTAGGAACAATTGTAAGGATATACATTTTTACAATAGGTTCCTATAAAACTTGATATCCATAAACTTTGTAAATATATTTCTAACTATATAACTATAGGCCTATAAAAGGCTATTCAAACTTTTTTCTCTTTGGGTTAATTTAGGTAATAAATTTGTTTGAGAACTTGTGTTTATTTCATGTTTGTTTATATTGTTCTCAAACAGTTGAAAATTTAATCATCGAACTTACTTTTAAAACTGTACTGACTCTATAGCTATGCCCCTGTTTCAATTCTACTATTACTTATAGGTCCTCCTCTCTTTTTAATGTACTTTGGGTGAAAAATGTATTATATTATACTTTTTAGAGAATGATGTTTCACTTCATTTGATGCTCTCTTTATTGTCAATTTCATAATTTTCTGGCTCATTTTTACCCACACTTCTAAAATACGTTGAAATGATATTTCTTTCTTTTCTAACTTCTTATATTAAACACAGGTCTTTGATTTCTAGCTTTTCTCTAATATCTGTAAATGTGTTTACATTTTCAATAAACTTTTGCATTTGAATTATTATTGGGTTTTGATATGTATCATTTTAAATAGTGGTCAGTTACAATTCTTTAAAAATTTCCAAAACAATTTCTTATTTGACACCCTCATTATTTAAAAACATGACTTTAAGCATCTAAACAGGGAAGCTTTTTTTTTATTTTTGAATATACATATGTAGACACAATTGACAATGAAATTTGTAACCTCTGTAGCACACAATAATTTAATATAGCAATTATAATTATTACTGATAACATATACTAGGTTATATCAGAATTATAGGAGTTTTACATAATTTTGGGACATATACCAGCACGTTTACACAAATATAGCCCAAAGAAAGCCAAACATCATTTCATATTTGATAATGCTTCTTACATAATTTTTACACCAAAAAACCAAACACATCATTTTTGGACTTCAAGGGACCTAATGTCTAAAGGATCAGTTAGGTCAGAAAATGACATACTTTATAATTTGATTTTGGAAAGTTTGTCAAATATCAAAGGCTTAAAACACTGGATATCACCAAATAGAATCACAGGTTATTCATTTATCCAAAGTGGTAACTCAAAATTTTTAAAGGTAAAAATATTTACTCTGAAGAGAATTAGCTTTCCAAATAAGACTCAATGAGGTTAGCATGAGGCCAACTGAATACATCTCTTTTCTCTCCTCCTTTTTTTCCCCTGCTGTTTACCAAAAGGGCAAACAAAACCTTTTCATTATCTTTTAATATTACATACAAACCTTTTTTAAAAGAGAAAACCAAATTTCATGTTTGCATTGCTGCATCTTTAATGCTTAAGCTAGTTTTCAAATTATATTTTATAAATCTATCCAGTTTTAGTCAGTTTGACCATGAGGTAAGATTTTCATAAACTTAAAACCTTTTACAATTTTTTTTTTAAACAGCAGATGAATTTTCTAAGAAAACCCTGTTGTTTGAACATGTGGGCCCAGATTCTGGCCCTGCATTAGTGTGCTTTCATTTTAAGATTCAATCTAAGGAAAATGATTAAATAATCCCCTTCAAATCTTAGCCAACTTGCTTATGCCCACAGAACTTTCTTTACAAGACTAACCCTTCACAAATCCTTTTCATCTTGCTGAAACCTTCAGTTTTGTCCCATTCTTTTTTCAGGTTAAGACAATCTTTAAAACCCTCTGTACTAGACAATATTGCACTCCCTTTAACAAAAGCCATATTTCCATGCTTTCTTATAATCTGTGATCAAAAATGCATTCTACTTTCCATACAAACATTGTATGTAAAACTATTTATCCAGTAGTCTCAATTATATGTTACAATGTACCTCAACAACTTTTATTTTTGTTAAAAAACCTGATAAGTAAGCAATTTTAATTATGTATTAGGTGTGGAGCCTAGGACATAAGACAGAAGTGAAGATAAGATCTGCTCCTTGCAGCATAGCTAGGTGGGGGATGGCTAACTCCACAAGTTATCAGGGCTTATCTAGAATACAATGTCCCAAAGTAGGTAAATTGAACCATTTTCAAAAGTCAAGAAATGAGATTATGACTTTAAAGCATTTAGAAAATCGGATATCTCACCTTAATTTAGACCAAATGTCTACATTTTGAAAACATTTTATTTTATTAATACTCTTTAAAACTGTCTTTATTTCCAAAAGTTTACTACAGTCATATGGACACAATGGCACTAAAGTTTCTATTTTTCTGACAAAATATTTGATTTAAGCACTTATTTTTCTAAGCCAATTAATCAGAGCTCTTTTTATACAAACATCCCACACACAGCACATATAAATACACAGACAAATGGAAGATCCAGCACTTATAAGATTTTTCATTTGGCAGTCTTTTAATTAAATTACTGCTTCAGGATGGAGCCCTTGGAGGAACAGGACCAGGAAAGCATGGAGTTTGTAGGGCCTAATAAGTAGGCACAGCTGGAAGGCAAAGACAGATCCTCAAAATTAAGGGTGACATTTTATACTGGGTCCTGGATCCCCCCTAAAAGAGGGAAATACTACAGGAGTAGATAGTGCAGTGCTTCTACTGTGCATCTTGTTGCAAGGCTACCCAAAGCCAATCAGCCCATTTTGTAATCAAGACTATCCCCCAGAGAACTCTCATCTCTCAGTGGAGGTTGGGGATGTTTTCATATCTTCCAGGTGGCCAGGAGCATGATTCTCTAATAGAAACATCAAAGAACTGAGTATCCCCTCATAACTACCACTAAACATCCCAAGAAGTATATTCCCTAGTTAGTTATTACACGGCAAGTTTCTCTCATAAGATGAAGTAATTTCTGATACCCAGAAAAGTCAAAAATGTCAGGAAACAGAATGAAAAACAGAACAGAGCCTTACAATTTGAGAAGAATCTATTATCTTTCAATTCCTAGGCTTCTGTGAGGAAAACAGAGTTTTCCCATAATGGGGTTTGAGGTGCCTCCTCTGCTTTTCCCCAGGAGTCCCAGGATGTTAAAATTTATCTTAAGTTCTCTCATGTGGGCATCAAGAGTGGCAAGAAGACACAATGGAGAAGAGCAATTCAGTCTACTGAGAAGGAAAAAAAAGCTTTTTTAAGAAAAACAAAATTCTGCAAAAGGAAAAAGATAAAGCCCTCTGAAATACATTTAGCTTGATTATCCATTTTTTAACTGAGCTGATTTTAACCATAGAGCTCTTTTTTTCTTAAAAAAAACATTTTAAATATCTTATTACAGACTCTAGTCAGGGCAGCCAATATTTCTGGCTTTTGAATTCTACCACAGGTAATTTCCCGCATTAACTTAATAAGTTTTAACTAGGGTTATAACTTAATCATTGACACATAATGTGTCTCAAAGAGATGGTAAGCAGTTTCTTTATCTTTATTTATTTATTTTTAACAAGATTTAGAATCTCCCCAAGGGTAGTTTAGAGAAAGGAAAATCCAAGACAGGAAATCAGAAGCTATCCATGGGGAGAAAAATGAAAAAAAAAAAAAAACCTTAATAAATGGCAAAGTTACACAAATAACAAAGCAGAAAGGAATCAGTCTGGAAGCCAAGAATTGAACCCCAGCCATCATGTCAAAAGACAAAGCCTTAGCTTCTGAGCTATACAGCACTGAGCAGTTTCAATTGCTCTTCCCAGAAGAAGTCTAGAGCAGCCAATTTCAAGCTTGCAAAGGCTCTTAACTGCTCAAGATAATTTTTAATGCTAACTATGACATGAACCTCCAAATTCTTGTCCTCTGGATGGTGGAAACCAACAGAAAGTATCCCCACGTGGTCACAAGATTAAGCTCTTAAGAACACAAAACAAGACAGACTTTAACTCAAATAAATAGAAGTTTCAGGGACCAGTAGCAAAGTTTGTAACTGACTAGCCTGATGGTCTGGCTTGAAAAGTAGAATTATAGGGATCCAAAACCCACGTTCTATCCTGTGACACCCCTCTCTCCATTACAGAACAACACAGAAAGACAAATTCTTAGTACAAAGTACATCAGATTTGCTACAGCCTAAGACTAATCTCACAAATCTTTTTACATTAATCAAACCCTTGCAGAGAAGACAAATAGAGACATTTAGCATTCACACAAACATACACAGAGAGAGAGAGAGAGAGAGAGATCGGAAACTTGACTGGTAAGAATTTCTTACCCTTTTGGCTGGCATGCCAGGTTTCTGAGTTCCCTTTCTCTGCAGCTTCCAGGAGAATGGAGTGGCTTTGATGACCCTGATCACTGTGCCATAGCTGAGGAGTTCAAACCACTTTACAAAAGAAAAATCAACCTTTTCTGTTTTATGGAACCATAGGCAAAAGATTTTCAATTTTGCAAGATGTTGCCCAATGGGCTTCATTGGAAACCAGATTAACATTTTCCATCTCAGCAAAATATACATAATAAAACAGACACTAGTCACCTTGTTCAGCACCTAATATCAAGCTGGCATAGCTCAAACTTTCTCTGGTTGGTCCCTGTTTTCCTTGATCCACTCCAGGTGGGGAAAAATGACCACCGGACTGTAATTCACAATTGCGGTGGGGCGGGGGGGGGGGGGGGGGGGGGGGGGCAGTCTGTAGCCAAGGCAAAGAGTGGATAGTCACCCAGAGACAGGCCTGTTGAGCTTTCTTCAGGGCTTACCAAATGTTACTGGATAAATAGGGAGGGTTCTCTGAGTTAGGTCTGCTGGACTTTCATCAGCAATTTCTTCTGAGATTCCTTCCACATATAAAAACACACACTAAGATGAGATGGACAGAAGGCCTTCCAAATCAGATTTCTAACCAAAAACTCCAAGAGTATCCCTTCCAAACTATCCTCCTATTTTCCATCTAAGAAATCTCCCCAAAATCTTCCTGATTGGAAAGAAGTCTCCAAAACCAAGACTCTTCCTACTAGTTAAGGAGAGCCAACTGAGACCTGACCCCCCCAGGAGCTGAACTGAGACCAACACCCTGCAATGGGGCTACAGACAAACCAAGACCCTCAAAGGACCCAAACCAAGACAGACACCCATGATCGAGCTACAAACAGACACCCCACCATGGGGCTACAGAACCAGCTGGGAGAAGCAAGGAGGTGTTGGCAGTGCCTAGGATACTCACCAACCCAGACACTCTGAAATGGGTCTACAGACAGACACCCTGTGAAAGAGCTACATTTAAGGGATGTCTCTTCAGGACTGTTTCTCTATTGCAATTAAATCCATGCACCTTGGGTCAGCAGCACCCCACCAGTGGAGAGAGTATCAGAATCAGTCTCTAGTCCAAGAGAACTAGGCGGCCACTTGGGCTGGCTTCTAGATCCATCACCAGAGGAGGGCTACCAAACAGCAGGCAGGTAGGCACAAGGGCAATCCCCCAAATTTGTAACTGACCAATGGGTTCACCTTGCCTCTTGCCTAGATATAACTGATTTCTCAAGATAGGGGAATTACAATAGAGAAAGTAATTCACACAGAGCTAGCTGTGCAGGAGGCCGGAGATTTATTATTACTCAAATCAGTCTACTTATTGTATTTTTAAAAACAGTTTTGTCTGAATAAAAATAGCAGCCCCCTGCTTTTTTTTTTAATTGCTTCATAGATTTTTCTCCATCCCTTTACTTTGAGCCTATGGGTTTCACTGCATGTGAGATGGGTCTCTTGAAGGCTCTACACACAGGTCTTGCTTCTTTACCCTTGTCACTCTGTCTTTTACAGGGGGCATTTAGCCTGTTTATATTCAAGATTAATATTGATATGTGTATATTTGATCTTGTCATTGTGCTGTTATCTGATTGTTATGAAGACTCGATTGTGCAGTTGCTTTATAGTATCAATAATCTATAAACTTAGGGGTGTTTTTGTGGTGGCCAGTAACAGTCTTTTGTTTCTAGGTTTAGCACTTGTTTAAGGGCCTCTTATGAGGCTGGTCTGGTGGTAATGAAATCCTTTATCACTTCCATCTTTTATAAGAATTTTATTTCTCCTTCATTTAAGAAGCTTAAATTGGCTGGATGTGAAATTCTTCACTGGAATTTCTTTTCTTTAAAAATGGTAAATATAGGCCCCCAATCTCTTCTGGCTTGTAGGGTTTCGGCTGAAAGGTCTGCTGTTAGCCTGATGGCATTTTCTTTGTAGGTAGCCTGCCCCTTCCCTCTTGATACCCCTATTTTTTTTTCTTCTTTTGCATTGATCTTAGAGGATCTGAGGACTTTACGTCTTGGGGATGGTCTTCTTGTATAGTATCTCTCAGGGCTTCTCTGAATTGTTTTGAATTTGACTTTCAACCTCTCTAGTGAGGTGGGGGAAATTTTCATAGGCAATATTTTCAAATATATTTTCCAAAGTGTTTGCTCTCTCTCTCTCTTTCTCTTTCAAAGATGCCAATGAGGCTGGGTGCAGTGGCTCACATCTGTAATTCCAACACTTTGGGAGGCCGAGACAGGTGGATCACCTGAGGTCAGGAGTTTGAAACCAGCCTGGCCAAAATGGCAAAACCCTGTCTCTACTAAGAATACAAAAATTAACCAGTTGTGGTGGCATGCGCCGACAGTCCCAGCTACTCAGGAGGCTGAGGCAGGATAATCGCTTGAACCCGGAAGGCGGAGGTTGCGGTGAGCTGAGATTGCACCACTGCACTCCAGCCTGGGTGACAGAGTAAGACTCTGTTTCAAAAAAGAAAAAAAAAAAAGATGCCAATGTGTCATAGGTTTGGTCTCTTTACATAATTACATATCTCTCAGAGGTTTTGTTCATGCTTTTTTCTTTGTGTTTGACTGAGTTTATTCAAAGAACTGGTCTTTGAGCTCTGAGATTCTATTCTTGGCTTGGTCTATTTTGGTATTAACAATTTGTATTATATTATGAATTCTTGCAATTTTTCAGCTCTATCGGGTCAGTTTAATTTTTTCTTAAAACAGCTATTTCAACTTTCATTTCTTGTATTATTTTACTGGATTCCTTAAATTCCTTGGATTGGGTTTCATCTTTCTCCTGAATCTCAATTATTTTCATTGCCATCCAAATTCTGAATTCTGTGTAATTTCAGCCATTTCACCATGTTAAGAACCATTGCTGGGGAGCTAGTTCAGTTATATGGAAGTAAGAAGACACTCTGGCTTTTTGAGTTGCCAGAGTTCTTGCACTGGTTCTTTCTCATCTGTGTGGGCTGATGTTTCTTTAATCTTTGACATTACTGTCTTTTGAATGGGGTTTTTGCTTTTATATTTTTTGTTGCCCTTGAGGGTTTGACTGCGGTATAAGTTGAATTCAGTTGTCTGGCTTCATTTCTGGATGATTTCAGGGGGCCAGTGCTCAGCTTAACACTGCTAGGCTGTGTGCTCTAACACTGAGGGGCTGGGGCCTGCCTCATGGCTTTCTTCTCCGGGCCCTCAAGGTTAAACACTTGCTGCACTGGAAGGGCTGAGGTGTTTTCAGTCCACTGACAGCAACACTCCTATGGGGGTTGCTTGCAAAAGTGCTTCTTTTTAAGCAGTGGCAGCAAGTTCTATGCTCACATATGAACTGGCCAAGTGGTAGAGGGAGGCTTCAGGCACCAGTGTGCTTGTGGGGGCCCATCTGCTGAATCTCTACAATGCTTAAACAAGGTCTACCAGTGAAGAAGCTCTTGTGGTGGACACTGGGAAGCACCCCATTTGAGCATCTGAGGCTGTTCTCCAAGGAGGTAAGGCCAGACAGAAACCCTGAAAAAGGCCAGCAAACAGTGGTTGCTCAGATCAGACTTACATTGTCCCATGGGCAAGATAGCCCTGTTCTGTCCAGTTCCAAGAGTCAATAAAAGCCAAAGACACCTAAGGGAGCATAGCGAGGTGTGGTGATTAGGCGTCCCTGGCCATGCTCAAATGCAGTTTTTCCTGTGGCAAACCCTCTGAGCTCTGTAGGTGCTGGAGTCCTGTCCCTGCCAACTCTCCAAGCAGCTATCCTTGCCAGATCACACATGTCGATGGGGTCACGGAGTCTCCTGCAGCTAGGATTCCAGAGGTTAACGGCAAGAATGGGCCACTCTACACCTGCTTAACTCACCCCTTTTCTAGGAGCTGCTGAGGGCCAGCCATGAGTCCTGGTTGTCTGCAACCCCATGCAGGGTTCCCACCTTCCTCCACTTTCAGTCCAGCATCAGCATACACCCTCCTTCCACTCTCAATGCCTTTTTCAGAAGATCTGCTTGGAATGTGCTGGTCATCTTGATGGTCTTGTCTCTCAACAGGAGTAGCTCTTCCTGGCTCTATGTCATCAGCCATCTTCCAAATCTCTTACATATTTGGATATTTTGTTCTTCTAGATGTATTCTTATGTTTAAATATATTCCCTGTATATTCTACATATCTTCTTATAAAGATGGATTTCTTAATTTTCCCAGTAAGTGATTTTTTTACAGAATTTCTATATAACATTATATATTGAATGGTATACTGTTAGATTCTTGCAAAATTTCATTTACCATCCTGTCTTCATTCTTCTGTTGGTTTCTTTGAACAATTAAACCTTAGATTATTTGTTTTATTATTACTCATCTTCTCACTTTTAGCTTGTTATTTGAATCTACTTATTTTTTCTAAGTTTTCCATGCATATTTAAAACCTTCAAAATGTTTACTTTTAAATCTTATCCCAAATTCTACAAAGACTCTAAAATATATTTACCTAAATATACAACATTTTATTTACATGATAATGTTTATCTGACCATGCATACATTTTTATTTAACACTTTCATAACATAATCTCGGTTGTGTACACTACTTTGTTTCACTGTTATATTCTGTAAGCAAATTCAAGATATTATTCTATTCATGTCTGGCTTCCTTCCATAATAATTGTTTACCAAAAATAAATAAACTTTGGTAAATTCAATAGTTCTTCCTCTAGCTGATTTTTATCTGATCTTTTCTTTTTCTTTGATGTTTTTTAGTTTTGCTGCAATAAAGTTCTGAATTGCTCCTTTTATGCTTCTTTTAAAAAATCTGTCTCTGCCTGTGGATGTATATCTTTCAACAATTCTTTAAAAAATGCAGTGATTTTTTGGAATATTTTTTCTTTTTTAAAACATTTTTCCTCTGTTTTCTCAGCTTAACGTATACTGGATCTGCTTATTTTTATCTGCTATGTCTCTTAACCTTCCTTTTATCGCTTCCATGTGCTAGTTATATTCTGGTAATTTCTTCAGATCTAATTTCTAATTTATTTATTCTGTTTCCAGCACTGTCAAAATTTCTGTTTAATTCATTTACTGAGCTTTTAATTCCAATAGCATAACTTATGAGTTTTAAAATATTACTTGATTTTTTTCCAAACAACCTGTTATTTTAAGTAAGCTTTAATTACTGACTCATTTTTTACTACAAGATTTATCTTTGTTTTTTCAATACTTTAAATATTTTTTAAAATTTTGAACTCTACATTTCATAATTTAAGGGTTGAAATGTAATATATTTGATATATCTGTTGTTTTTGTTGACATCAATAGTGTTAATTTATTTAAACATAAATAATAGTTTATTTAATATTTATTTATAACTTAATATTTATAAATACCAAGAACATAACTTTGTAAATTCTTATGTCCATAGATATATTAACTTTGTTTCTCCTAAAAATTATCTACACCTTATCAATATAGGTCCACTAAATCCACCTTCAAGGATGCCAGCATGATCTAGGATGCTCATGTTTACTTTGCTCACACTTTGGTGTTCCCAGTTTTAGGGTTTGATTCTAATTTTGATATTGTAATTCCTCATACCCTGAACAAGTTTGGACTAGATTAAAATATAAGTGGTACAAGATAAATGTCTATAAAATCAATAAACTAACAAAATACAAAAGAAATTATCTTTCAGAAGAGATTTTTTATCTTGTTAGCTTAGACTGATAATTAGATAAATATATGTTATCTGTGTAACATATGCAGTAATATATCTATCTATATAATATTTAACATACATATATTTGTAGCATACGTATATATGTGATATATATGTAATAAATAAATATGCAACATATAAAATATATGTGTACCATATATAGGTAGTGTATATAAATCAAGGAAATAAAAAAGAAAGATAAAAGTACTTCACAAATATCTATTTTTTAAAAAAATGAATGCATTCTAAAGGTCTTTATTATGTTCAGGAACTCTTGGCAGCTTTCCCTGCATTCTGCAACACAGAGTTTAGTAGGACTTTCTGGAGTCTCCTCAAGTTTTTCAGTCTAACTTTAGTTAATTATTACTACTTAACTTCTCAAATACCATCATGAGTGCCCAACTTCTCAATGAGGCTTACAGTGTTCTCAGATTACTGTTGAGAAGTGAGCCACATGTGTTCGAGTGCTCTGAGAGCACTCTAAACTTATATAGGTTTTCTACATTCTCTCTCTTTTAACATTCTGACTCTTAGCATCTACACCAATAATGTATTCTATTGTTCATTTTTCCCCCTCTAAAGATTTTCTTGTCACAGCCTTCTGAGTTATCTTTCCTGAAAAGAACATGGAGAATAATTTATATTTTAAAAACCATGGCTCTTAAATTGTTATGTATTTTTCTCTACCAAGTTACATATGACATAAACACTATGCAAAGTACTCTGAAAATTAATATTTTAGATTTCAAAAAAATCTTTCCTTTTTCAAAAAGCTGGTTTTTTAAATGCAAAACTTTGGCAATGGTTTTATTATGAGTTCAAAAGAAATATATGTAGATACTTAATTGGCTTCTTCATCTTCTGTAGTTAATGTGTGTCTTCTTTCCCCTGGGACAATAAGACAGACTCAAGGTCTAATTTTGAAGCTCAGAACCCTACAAATAAACTAATAAAAAAGTACAGATAAAAATAAATTACTTTAAATAATAAATATATCATTAATTATCCAAATATCATGGATAAAAATCATGATCATATAATCTCATTGCATAATAATTAACATTGGTTTATCTGTATCTATAAAAGGCAATATACATATCATAACTTGTGTTAAAATTCCTTAAATGTAACCTGGTTCTTGCTTATCTCTTCAGAATTTTATTTATTTATTTATTTTTTTGAGATGGAGTTTCATTCTTGTTGCCCAGGCTAGAGTGCAATGGTGCAATCTTGGCTCACCTCAACCTCTGCCTCCTGGGTTCAAGTGATTCTTCTGCCTCAGCCTCCCGAGTAGCTGGGATTACAGATATGCACCACCATGCCTGGCTAATTTTGTATTTTCAGTAGAGACAAGTTTTCTCCATGTTGGTCAGTCTGGTCTCAAACTCCTGACCTCAGGTGACCTGCCCGCCTCGGCCTGTGCTGGGATTACAGGCGTGAGCTGCCATGCCCGTCCCTCTCCAGGATTTTCTATAGTCACCCTTTCTCTAATACTCACTGATAGAGCTCACTCTTTACATAAACAAAATTTCATGGAGTTCTGAAAAATGGCAGATTATACTTAATGTTAATTTTGTAGTTTCCATCATTCTGAACTATATCTTTCACACAATCCCGAATATTCTTTTCCATTAACACTTATTCATTTTTGTAAACTCAATGCCATTTCAATTTCTCCAATAAAATCTTTACTGCCATTCTTAAGTAAAAGGGACCATTTTCTTCTTTGTTTACTATTCATCATCTGCATATGTGATGGTTAATATTGAGTGTTAACTTGATTGGATTGAAGGATGCAAAGTATTGGTCCCTTGTATGTCTGTGAGGGTGATGCAAAAGGAGATTAACATTTGAGTCAGAGGACTAGGAGTGGCATACCCACCCTCAATTTGGGTGGACACCATCTAATCAGCTGCCAGTGCTGATAGGATAAAATCAGGCAGAGAAACATGGAAGGACTAGACTGGCTAAGACTTCTGGCCTCTATCTTTTTCCCACTCTGGATGCTTCCTGCCCTCGAACATCAGTCTCCAAGTTTTTCAGCTTTTGGACTTTTGGACCTACACCACTGGTTTGCCCGGGGCTCTTGAGCCCTTCAGCCACAGACCGAAGGCTGCACTGTCGGCTTTCTTACTTTTGAAGATTTGGGACTCAGACTGACTTCCCTACACCTCAGCTCGCAGACTGCCGATTGCGGGATTTCACTTTGTGATCGTGTGAGTCAATACTCCTTAATAAACTCCCTTTCATATATGCATCTATCCTATTGCCCTGTCCTTCTAGAGAACCCTGACTAATACAGCATACATCTATTTTTAGTTAATAAAACATGTTATTACACTTAAACGTTGATATGCCTATTTTCTAGTATAGGCTACAATAACTTTGGAAGAATGTCCTAGTTAGTACTGTATCAATAAAACAAAGTACACAGCAAGCCCAACATAGTTATGCATAAAATTATGCTACATTTTAAAAGATAAATGATGTCTCTTGATTAGTAAGCTTTTGTGGATTATTTCCCCTTGCTTAGAGATGGAAATACTTCCTAGAAAATTAGTATTCATTTTTAATTTTATTACATATTCTAATATTAATGCATGTGCAACTCATAATGATAAGAGTAAGTGAATATAGAAAAAAAAGTGCCCTACTAGATGGAATTAATGTACTTAACTCTTTGATTTAATGCTAAAAATGCATCTCCTAGGGGATTTTTACTGAAAGAAATGTAATTACTGATTATAATAGGAAAGATCAGAAAACGAGGGCATATTTAATAATTGCACAGAAATTGCCTCATTGCATTCATGTTCTGAAAATGTTTCTTAACAAATCATCATTGTATTTATTGTTCATTGAAAATATCTTATATTTTATTTCTTTTCCAAAAATGCAATATGCTATTTTTATAGAAAACTAATGCCTGAGATTTCTGATAATCTCCAACTGGAGGCAAAACTATAATTAGAGATATGTAGGTATAGTATCACAGTACCTGGCTTACAGAGTTCAGAATTCTTAGACCTCAAGGGCATCATGGATTCTAATTATCTTCTCATTGTTCATTCTTTGTAATGCACATTGTATCCCTCCCCTCAAACCCTTCCCTTTTTTTTTCTATATTTTTAGCCAGGCTTGAAATCCTTATGAGAAAAATTTTCAGGAGAACATAAAATGATGGTATAGAATATGAAAATATTAATAAGGAAGACTTAAAAAATGTGATTCCGGAAAGCTCACTCTTAATCATTTACTGAATGTGAGTCACAGTCAGGGTTATTATCTCAGAACTATGTAATATTTAGCAGAAAAAAATACCTATAAATGAATCAAGAAAATATAAAGCATAATAAAATTAGCACACATTTGTGTTTGGAAATTCATTTCTCATAAAAAATAAGTCATTTTGATTGTGGGGTTTGTTTAAAGAAGCTTTAGTTTTTAATGAATTTAAATAATTTTGTCCTATTTAACCATCACAAAAACAATTCTATCATTTCTTTCATTCTAATTGCATGTTTCATATTAATGCTGCCACTATTTACCTTAATTTAATACTCTCCACATTCATTTATCTTTTATATATCCTTTTTTAAACCATAACTAACATGACCAGCCATCATAGTAGCCCTCTGTCCAAAGCATTCTTTTTGAAGTGAGTGAAATAACCTGTAAATACAGACAATACTTATTTTTCACAGTCTCATAAATTTGTGACCACTGTCTTAAGGGGAAAAAAAAAAGCAACAGCTTCTCTTTATCATTTTAACTATATGTCATTATAATGGACCACACAATGAGGAGAACCTCTAGCTCTCTGGCACATGTATACCTATGTAACCTGCACGTTGTGCACATGTACCCTAGAACTTAAAGTATAATTAAAAAAAAAAGAAAGAAAAGCAAGAAATAAACAAATAAAAATTACCACACACAAAAAACTTATTCTCTACAAATGTCCATAGGTGAAAGTGACTACTTTTATGCCAAGTCTATGGGATTAAAGAGATATTTTGAGATGTTATGTCTATAAGGCTGACTATAGGGTCTGTGAAAATACTGTAAGAATGACAGAATGGAGATTGTAGTGAAGAGTTTTGGAAAGGAAAGGAGTTTCTAATTTCTGGCCAGTTTATAGATTTTTAAAGACACTGTGGCTTCAGCATTGTTCCTCATGTCCATTTTCTCAGAGATTTTTCTATATGCAGGTCTCACTCCTTAACTTTTGTGGCACATACAGGTGGTATTTGAATGAAGTGCATAATCTTCTCTCAAGAATCACTGTCCCAGAATTATCCATTTCCTTAACAGTAAATTTTTTAAAATACATTTTACACGTTTGTGGGTAGCTATGTGTATGTGTGTCATTATATATGCTTATATAGAGATTTTATATATGAAATAAAAGAGAGGGAAGAAGAAACAAAGAAGCATTATTTCATATCATTATTTTTCTTCTAGAAATGTGAGGACATGTGAAAAGAGGGCATTCCCTTTTCTGTGTTTAATGAAGCATTAAGGATAATTTACATAACTAGGTAATTACATAATAACCTGAGATATTAAAAAACAGGTTCTTTAGATTGAGAATGGAATCTTTTATATTTGCTTTAATCATCTGTGAGGATAAAATGTTTAGGCTTGCAGTAGATTTGCTAATTTTATATTCTGTTCAAAATCATTTTAATAACTAAATATGTTGTCTAGGAAATAGACCAAGAAAAAAGAAGTAAGATTCCTAAGGTTTCCTTTAGTTTAAAGCTGGTTTGTAGCGCTTGATTTCTTCACTTGCATTCCCATAGTTGCATCTGTTAAAAAGAAGTAGCATTTGATTTTCAAAATTCTAATATGCTATTAGTACTTGAGAGTATTAAGCAAATAATAACTATAGATTTTTAATGCTGCTAAGGGGAACTACATGATAAAGTGTAGTTATTATGTGTTATTTTTTGAAAATCTGTGAATAACTTATTTAAAGAGTTGGCTATGAAAATGTTTTCTTAAAGTCATCTTTCTAAAACAGTGTTATTCTCCAGTGGACACCTGAGTTTAAGAAACTTAAAAATGTTTCTGTTCCTAGACTATTATAGATTTCAATAAAAAAATAAAATAAGTGAGTCCCTTGAAAACAGACACTCTAATATTGTTACTACTTTAGCTGAGGCCAACAAATACCTGGATATGTATAGTTGTATTTAAATTTTTTAGACATAAAATACTTATAAATTTATTTACAAAGAATTCAACAAGAACCCATGGGCTAATCATAATAAATTCATCATAACATAGTAGCATATTTTATTGGCTTCATGAATTGTATCTCTCTTCTTGTGAAAAAAAATTTAAGTGCATGAAATCTAACACGTATCCTCCTCTCTACATGGACCCTATGTGCTGCTCTAAACTCTGTGAATCAACTCCCATTCATAAAACGGCTACTCCATTATTGCCTAATGAAGAAAAGCAGTCCGTTTTACTGCCAAAACTGCCTAACTGATGTTCCCAATTTTATGTGAGCATTTAGTATACTCAGTCTGTTTCATTAGATTAAAAACCATTTACAGCTACTCTTAACACAATAAAGCAGCATCTCTCCAGAAAGTAGCTTTTGACATGCAAATACAATGCTTCTGACAAATCTTACAGATTTCAGTCAGAGTCTAGTAAGGGAAACAAAACCATTAATAGTTATTTCAAGAGGGTCAAGATATCTGAGTATACACAACTTGTATGCATCTCCTTCACAGAGAGGAACCACGACAGCAAATAGATATTTACTCTTCAAACAGATTTCCTAAGAGAGAATCCTAGGATTCAACAGAGAAGTAAGTGTCAGACAGCACCAAAAGCAAGTAAAGAGAGGGTTTGAGGTAGCTTGCCCAGTTAGAAACTGGCCGGTAGCAAGGAGAAGCTCCTGAATGCAGGGGAAGAGTGAGAGAGAAACCCCTGGGACTCTACATTTCTGCAATGGGATTTTTGTCACCATCCTTATGGGAGAACACCTTAGCCCATGTGGCTTAACATAAGGTGTTGCCTAGAGATTACAGAGACATTGCTCCAGAAAGAGAGCTCAGGCAGAATTCTACAGGCATCGCAGCCCAGGGCAGCTACAGCTTGGCGCCATTCTGAGAGCCTGGTTACCAGTGTCAATGCCCTGCACTGAGGCAGTTGCTGCAGCTGCCACCTCTGGGCCAAAAGGAATAGGACAGACTGAGTGCTCCCACACACCCCTAAGACAATACCCATCACTCTGCTGTAGGCTGCTGTGAGACCAAGACATCAGAAGACTGCACTTCCTACAAATTCTTACCCTCGCTGCTCACCCAAGAAGAATCCTGTTCTCTCTGTTTGTGGGCTTGTGATGCCATCTTGAGTTGAACACTGAGCTGTGCCTCATCCTCATGTCAAGATTGGAATTACATAGCTGCAGCTGCCACCCGGCCAAGGAGGGAGAAGGGAGACCAGGCACTCAGATACAGCTCTAGGACAATTTTCAACACCCTGCTACAGGCTGCTGTGAGCCCAAGGTGTTAGAAGACTGCATTTCCTATAGCTTCTTACCCACAGAACTCACTGTAGAGGGCCCACAGCTGGTACTATTCTGAGAATTCAGCCACAGGGAATATGCATCCTGCCCTCAGGCAAGGCTTGAGTTGATGTTGCAGCTACCATGCCAAGGAGGAAAAGGGATACCAGGCACTTCCATGCATTCTTAGTACGAGTCCCACTACCCTATTATGGGCTGCAACGAGACTAAGGAATGAACAGGTTGCACTCTCTACAGTTACATTCCCATGCTGCTCCAGCTAAGAATTCTGCCAACCCTGTTGGCAGGCCCAGAGAACAGTCACAACAGCCCTTACCTGAGAATTCTGGTGGTGTCCTGATGATTACCACTTGCCCTGACCACCATCTGTCAGCAAACATATCAAGTCACTACCAGGAGGCCTGAGGGCAAGTCTGCTAGCCTGGACCCATTCCCATAGTACTTAGGATGCACCCAGGGGCCCTGAAATTTCCCAGCCCCAATCCATCACTGTTGACACCTGTTGGGGTCTGAGGTTGGGCCGGCACAACTGATGGATATCACCACAGCTAACTCCACCTGCATGCACTACCAGTGGCCCAGAAGACTATCCTGCACAAAGCATTTTTGCCACCAACGACACTAGCATGGACTTCTTGGTTTCAGGTGGTTTACTCTACCTCTATTACTCACATCACCTACATCACTCCAGCTACCCAGAGGCCTGATAATCAACCCCTATGCCTAGCCCACTGCTGCCACAACCGGAATCTGAGCAAGACACAAGGAGGGCCAATTATTCAGCCCACCACTACCACTACTGGGGTCCAAGGACCGACCCACCTGATGTTCCGGTTCCCAGAAAAATTTCACCATAGCCTCAACTAATAACCATACCTTAAACGACCAAGAAACTCAGAGACCACTGACCCTTATGTATTGCAAAATAAATTATGCTGTACTCAACCAACAACATAGACACACCTTCAAGAAAAAATTTCTCCTACAACGGCAACTTCAAAAAACTGGAAGAAGTGACTCTAACAATAGATGTGCATATATCAATATAAAAACAAAGAAAGTAAAAATGTCACATTGCCAATAAAAATTGAAAATATTGATTTAAAGAAGCTCAATAAGATGTAAGAGAAATATAAGAACCAATAAAAAAAATCAGAAAATCCAGGATATCAATGGAAAATTTACCAAGGAGATAGATATCTTAAAGAAAGCAAAAAAGAAATTCTGGGAGTAAAAAACGTATTAAACGAAATACAAAATACGTATGAAAGCTTCACTAATAGACTAGAGCAAGCAGAAGAAAAGAATATCAGAACTTGAAGACAGGTCTTTTGAAATAATCTAGTAAAGCAAACATAAATAAAAAATAATAAATAGGAATAAACAAAGTCTTTGAGATGTCAGGGGCTACATAAAGTGACTGGACCTATAAATTGTCAGTATTCCCAAAGGGGAAGAAAGATTTAAAATTTAAAAATCTATTTAAGGATAAATTGATGAGAACTTCCCAAGTCTAGCAAGAGTTAGACATTCAGTTACAGGAAACCCAACAATCTCCAGGACAATGGGTCAGTGAAGAAATCATGACATTAGAAAAATTAGAAAAAATAAATTAAGACAGAAGAAATGCATACAGAAGAAATTATGAAATACAGAAATTGGGTCAATAAAGATATTAAGGCAGATTTTTAAAAAAATTGAAACAGATAAATGGAAACACAACATAATAAGACCTCTGAGATAGAGCAAAAATGATGCTAATGGAGAAGATTATAGCACTAAATGCAAAATCAGAAATGAAATGTTAGAAATTACTACTGATACCAGAGAAATACAAAAGATCTTGAAGACTATTATGAATAGCAGTATGCTCACAGACGAGAAAACTGAGAGTAAATAAATACATTTCTGGAAATGTACAACCTCCCAAGTGTAAACAAGGAAAAAATAGAAAACCTAAACTGACCAATAACAAGTAGTGAGATTGAAGTAGTAGTAAAAAAAAATCTCTCAGCAAAGAAAAGCCCAGGACCAGATGTATTCATGGCTGAATTCTATCAAACATACAAATAACAACTAATATCAGTCCTCCTGAAACTATTCCAGAAAATCAAGGAAGAGAAAATTCTCCCTAAGTCATTCTAAGAGGCCAGTACCACCCTGATACCAAAACCAGACAAGGACACAACAACAACAACAAAAACTATAAGCCAATATTCCTGATGAACATAGAGGCAAAATTTCCCACCACAACATTAGTAAACCGAATATATCAGGACATCAAAAAGATAACACACCATAATGAAGTGAGTTATATCGCAGGAATGCAAGGATGACTCAACATATTGAAATCAACAAATGTGATACATCACATAAACAGAATTAAAAAAAAGATCATCTCAATAGATGCAGAAAAGCACTAGATAAAATTCAGCATCTTTTCATTATAAAAACCCTCAATAAACTAGGCATCAGAAAAACATACCTTAAAATAATACAGTCCATGTATGACAAACCCATTGCCAACATCATACTGAATGGGGAAAACTTGAAGAGGGCTATTCCTCTAAGAACTGGAACAACATAATGCATGCACAGTTTCACTACCTCTATTTGATATAGTACTGAAAGCCCTAGGCAGAGCAATCAGGCAAGAGAAAGAAATAAAAGGATTCTAAATTGGAAGACAGGAAGCAGATTTTTTCCTGTTTACTGATGATATAATCTTATATCTAGAAAAATATAAAAATGACTCCAAAAAGCTCTGAGATTTAATAAATAAATTCAGTAAAATTTCAGGATACAAATCAACATACAAAAGTCAGTAGTGTTTTTATACAATAATAATTATCCAGCAGAAAACCAAATCAAGAAGGCAATATTATTTGCAATAGCTACCAAAAAAGAGAAATACTTAAGAATCTATTTAATCAAGAAGGTGAAAGATCTCTATAAAGAAAACTGTAAAACACTGATGAAAAAAATCATACATAACACAAACAAATGGAAAAGCATATCATGATCATGGATTGGAAGAATTAATATTGTTAAAGTGACCATCCTACTCAAAGTTATTTACAGATTCAATGCAATCCCTATCAATATACCAATGTAATTTTCACAGAATTAGAGAAAAACTCTTCTGTAATTCACATCGAACCAAAAGAAAAAAAAGGCCAATTAGCCGAATAAATTCTAAGCAAAAATAATAAAGCTGGTGTCATTACATTACCTGAATTACAATTACACTACAAGGCTATAATAACCAAAATAGCATAATACTGGTATAAAAATGGACACATAGATCAGTAGAACAGAATAAAGAGCCCGGAAATAAAGCCACATTATTTACAGCCAAATGATCTTTGAGAAAATTGACAAGAATATACACTGGGGAATGAACAACATTTTACATAAATGGTGCTGTGAAAATGGGATTGCCATATGCTGAAGAATGACACCGGACTCATATCTCTCTCTGTTTTTTTTTTGGTGGGGGGTGGAGTACCCCTCTTGCCCAGGCTGGAGTGTAGTGGCACAATCTTGGCTCACTGCAAACTCCGCCTCCTGGGTTCAAGTGATTCTCCTGCCTCAGCTTCCCAAGTAGATGGGATTACAGGAATGCACCATGATGTCCAGCTAATTTTTGTATTTTTAGTAGAGATAGGCTTTCTCCTTGTTGGCTAGGCTGGTCTTGAACTCCTAACCTTAAGTGATCCACCTGCCTCAGCCTCCCAAAGTGCTAGGATTACAGGCATAAGCCACCGCACCCAGCCCATATCTCTTATTATACACAAAAATCAACTTAGATGGGCTAAGGATTTAAATGTAATACCTGAAACTATAAAACTACTGGAAAAAAAAAAAACCTAGGGAAAACTTTCAGGACATTGGTCCAGGCAAACAAATTATGACTAAGACCTCAAAAGCACAGGCAACAAAACCAAAAATAGATGAATGGAACTATATTAAAATAAGAAGCTTATATATAGCAAAATAAATAATGGACAAAGTAAACAGACCACTTGCAGAAAATATTTTCAAACAATGCATATCTCAGGGGATTAATATCCAGAATTTACAATTACCTCGACATAACAACAAAATAGCCCCATTAAAAAAATGGGCAAAATCATTAATAGACATTTTTCAAAAGAAGGCATACAAATAGCCAATAGGCATATAAAAATATTCATCACTAATCATCAGAGGAATTGAAATTAAAACTATGAGAGATCATCTTTTACCAGTCAGAATGGCTACTACTAAAGAGACAAAAAATAACAGATATTGGCAAGGATATAGAAAAAAAAAGAACTCTTATACACTGTTAGTAGGAATGTGAATTAGTACAACCTGTATTGAAAACAGTATGGAGATTTCTCAAGTAACTAAATATAGAACTACCATTCAATCTAGCAATCCCACTACTGCATATGTACGCAAAGAAAAAGGATTCGTTATATTGAAAAGACACCTGTCCCCATGTATTTACCACAGCACCATTCACTGTAGCAATCACATGGAATCAACATACGTATCCATAGTGGAAGACTGTATAAAGAAAATGTGGTATATATACCCAATGAAATACTATTCAGCTATAAGAAAAAAATGAAATTATGTCTTTTGCAGCAGCATGGATGCAATTGAAGGTAAATATCTTCAGTAAATAAGTCAGACACAGAAAAACAAATACTGAATGTTTTCACTTATAAGTGGTAGCTATATAATGTGTAAACATGGACATAGAGTGTGGCATGATAGACAGTGAAGACTCAGAAGGATTGGAGAGTGGAAGGAAGGTGGGTGATGAGAGATTATTTAATGAATAGAATATGTTATTTGGATGATGGCTACCCTCAAACCTCTAACTTCACAACTGAGCAATCCTGCATGTAACAAAATTATGCTTGTACCTCATAAATGTATACAAATAAAATAAAATAAAAACAATTTAAAAAATAAAATAAGGTAGTAACCACCAGCAGCACTGTATTAATCCATTCTCACCCTGCTATAAAGAACTACTGGGTTATTATTTATTTATTTATTTATTGAGACAGAGTTTCACTCTTATTGCCCAGGCCAGAGTGCAGTGGTGTGATCTCGGCTCACTGCAACCTCCGCCTCCTGGGTTCAAGTGATTCTCCTGTCTCATCCTCCCATGTAGCTGGGATTACAGGTGTGTGCCACCATGCCTGGCTAATTTTTGTATTTTTAGTAGAGATGGGGTTTCATCATATTTGTCAGGCTGGTCTCAAAGTGCTGACCTCAGGTGATCCGTCCACCTTGGTCTCACAAAGTGTTGGGATTACAGGCATGAGCCACCCATGCCCAGCGGTGAGACTGGGTTATTTATGAAGAAAAGAGGTTTAATTGACTCACCGTTCCACAGGCTGTACAGAAAGCATGGCTTGGAGGCCTCAGGAAACTTACAATTATGGTCAAAGGGTGAAAGAGACGCAAGCATGTTTTCACATGGGGGCAGGAGAGGGAGAGAGATAATGGTGAAATGCTACACACTTGTAAACGACCAGAACTTGTCACAACTCTATCACGAGAGAAAACTAGGCAGATGATGCTAAACCATTAGAAAGGACTCCCATGATCCTATTACTTCCCACCAGGCCCCACCTCCGACACTTGAGATTGCAATTCAACATGAGATCTGGGTGGGGACACGGAGCCAAATCATATCAAGCAACATCACCTTGGAGCTTACTAAAAATGTAGGTTCTTGGGCTTCACCCCAGACCTGCTGTACCAGAATCTGCATTTTAACAAAATACACAGGTGATTTGTTTGAACAAGTTTCAGAAGCACTGAAGTAGAAGTCACAGCAATATCTAGAAAAAGAACAGATGTACAGATATAAGCAAACACTGAATGTGCTTCTATTGACATACATTTAAGGTTCCTTTTAAAAAATCTTCACTGGAGACAGGGAGGAAACACATAGTTCTTGGTCAAGAGCACAGTGTTTCACATAGACTAGAGAAATAAGCTTTCACGTCTATTTCACACCAGTGTGACTACAGTCAATAATAGTGTATTTTATATTTCAAAATAACTAAGAAAGTACATCTCAGACCTCTCACTGCAGAAAATTGTAGGTAAGTGAGGTGCTGTCTTCATTATAGGTAAGTGAGGTGATGTTAATTAGCTTGCTTTGATTATTCCATATTGTATACATATTTCAACACATTACATTGTGCCCCATAAATGTATACAAGTATAATTTGCCAATTTAAAATAATACTAAGAAAAAGTCCATATTAAAGAAATTAATGCAGAAAAATAACTTTATTCTTAATGAAGTCATCTAGTCCCTAATCGTTATTCTAACACTGAAATAAAATTTTAACATAAAAGTTGTTATTTCAAACAGAGAGATATAAGAAATTGCTCATAAAGTGTTGAAAAATATCAATGAGCAAAAGGGAGCTAAGAGAAGTAAAGCAGGGAAATCCTAAGAAGCCTAGTCACACCAAAGACTGTTGGAGTCGGCCGGGCATGGTGGCTCATGCCTGTAATCCCAGCACTTTGGGAGGTCGAGGCAGACGGATCATGAGGTCAGGAGTTTGAGACCAGCCTTCCCAGCGTGGTGAAACCCCTTCTCTATTAAAAATACAAAAAAATTAGCTTGTAGTCCCAGCTACTTGGGAGGCTGAGGCAGGAGAATTTCTTGAACCAGCAGGTGGAGGTTGCGATCAGCCAAGATTGTGCCACTGCACTCCAGCCTAGGCAACAGAGTGAGACTCCATCTCAAAAACAAAAACAAAAACAAAAACAAACAAACAAAAAAGACTGTTGGCATCAACAATCAACAAACTCTACTGTCACTACAGTAACCACCAGCAACTACCAGCACCTGCCTCCATGGACAAGAGCAGAATTGTGTTTTTCTTCTGCCTTCTAATGAACCAAGGTTCTCGTGGGCATATTCCAATTTAAAGCCAGTTAGGAAGTACATTCAAAATATCTGAAGCTTCAATAGTACAAAGTGAATTAATAAAAGTTATGAGGCTAAGAAATAGTGAAAAATAATTCACATTAGATGTCTCTGAATAACAAAGAGCTTTTTGCCGTTATGATTTCTGAAGCCTTCTTTCCAACTAAAGAGGGGGAAAGTTGTGTCCCTCATTATTCACAGAATACCTTTTCTATATCTGAAACATAATTAAAATCTCCTTCTGACTCAAAACATGGTTTCAGTTTATGTTTTCCATTGCAAACCACTCATTGGCTCATATACTACATTTTTCAAACTCAGTGGGGGTTGGGGAGATGGGAGTCAAGAATTTCTACTGTCTCCTGTCAACTTGAAACTGAGTACTTTCATCTGGCTCTCATTTTCAGAAATCTCAATCACCTCCACTTAATACTTCCCATTCTGAGACTTAGACCACTTTACTTTCTTTAAATTTTCCCAGGGTTCTCAAATTTTACTAAATAATTAAATCATACCTTTAAAAAAAAATTCAACAGCCTTGCCAGTTTCTGAACCTCCTTATCAGGAATAGATAGACTCCTTTTCAGTCACCATTTTCTAGAAGCATATCTGTAACTTGTTGTTAATAATTGCTTCAGTAAAAATCTTGAACATTTACATATTATTTCCACACTTTCTTATTCAAAGCACATTATACCTTCATTCCACTATGCATGCTTTTTGACCACATGTCTATATAATTGTCTTTCCATTTTCTCTGTTTGTTGGAACTGTAGGGCAGAAAAAATTTCTCCTCAACCCTTTTAGGGTCTCTGACTGTACAAAAGAATTAAACTTATATGAGACACATTAACAGAAAAAAAGCATACAATATTTTCTTTCTTAAAAAAGTGTTATATCACATGGAATAACTCATAAGGAGATGAAGACCCAAGGAAGCAGTTAGCACTGCACACTTATATACTAAATTAGACAAAAAGTACTAAATTGTGAGAACATGACAACACAAAAGGGCTTGAGCTAGAGCAGGTAATTCTTAAAAGTAACCAGAAAGATAAAATGTAATTTAACAAGATTTATTCATACAGATATTTTTCAGTTTTAACTCCTTGTCTCTGGTTATAGGAATAACCTCCTGCTATAAAAAGGACATTTTTTCCAACAGTGTGAAAGCATTCCTATTTCTCCACATCCTCTCCAGCATCTGTTGTTTCCTGACTTTTTAATGGTTGCCATTCTAACTGGCGTGAGGTGGTATCTCATTGTGGTTTTGATTTACATTTCTCTAATGACCAGGGATGATGAGCTTTTTTTTCATAAGTTTGTTGGTTGCATAAATGTCTTCTTTTGAGAAGTGTCTGTTCGGCTGGGCGCCGTGGCTCATGCCTGTAATCCCAGCACTTTGGGAGTCCGAGGCCTCGTGGATCACGAGGTCAGGAGATCGAGACCATCCTCGTCCCAGCACTTTAGGAGATCGAGACCATCCTGGCTAACACAGTGAAACCCTGTCTCTACTAAAAATACAAAAAATTTAGCTGGGCGTGGTGGCAGGCACCTGTAGTCCCAGCTACTCGGGAGGCTGTGGCAGGAGAATAGCGTGAACCTGGGAGGCAGAGTTTGCAGTGAGCTGAGATCACGCCACTGCACTCCAGCCTGGGCGACAGAGCAAGACTCCGTCTCAAAGAAAAAAAAAAGTGTCTGTTCATATCCTTTGAACACTTTTGGTGGGGTTGTTTTTTTTCTTGTAAATTTGTTTAAGTTCTTTGTAGATTCTGGATATTAGCCCTTTGTCAGATGGGGTGGCATATTCTGCCATTCTTCAAATTCTTCAGAATTCATCTTTTCACTGTTTACTACCTTTTACAATATTTTCCTATTCATCTTACTTGAGCATGCAAATATTCTGGTCATCAGAAAGCAATTCTCAAGTAACCTTGATACATGGAACTTCATCATGCTGCATTGAGTATGCACCTTTTCATGATGCACTTAGTAATAAGGAATAGAAGTTTTCCCAGCTCTGTTCAAATGAAATTGAAATATTCTTAATTTGATTGTCATGTCCTTCTTTCCTATTCTTACCTTTATTTTCAAATGTAGAAAGTAAAATGGCTTTCTGCTTGAAAACACACTGGCAAATATTACAAAATGTGATTCTTGCTCTGTCTAGCTATTACCTTTATTTTGTTAGGTTTGACCCCCTATAGAGACTAGTTAATGAGTTTGATTCAAATACATGCTGATAGCATGCTACAGCAAATGATGTTTCTCTTATGATGGCTTTCTCTTTACTCCTATGTGGGGCAGACAGGAAGTACTAGGCTTTTGGAAAGTAGGGGGATGCATCTTCCAATTCATATTCATTATTAGACAAGAACTGTTTGTCTACTAATAATTGTGAATTGGAAGATACGTCTCCTTACTTTCTTGACGCTGATGTGAAAAGACTCTTAGGCATGTTCTACGATGTCTCCTGGAGTTCTTTAGCAGGTGGTCAGTTGTTCAGAACTGTAACCTTCTCAATGATACTCCTTTGACAGACTTCTTTTATTTTCTCTCCCTTACCAGTGCTTTCTGAGATCAACTGCAAAATAAGTTACTTGTCTTTGATTCTTATTCTCAGGGTCTTTTTCTGGGTAAATCCAAATCAAAACAATATATCAAAGGAAACTTAAAAGTATTAAAACACTATCTGTATTGATTTTCATAAATTTTTCTGTTTGAAAAGTAATTTCAAAATTAAAAATTAAAATGAGTTTTGTGGAAATAATTTCTAATTATTTGTAACAATTAGAATAAGACATTCAGATGATAAAACTATGTGCCCAGAAGACAGTTGTGTTTTAAAGTAACTTTTACATATTTATGTTTTTATAATAAAATATTCACAAGATTGGATCACAGGATAAAATAATATACTTCAAGGAAACCTTATTGTGACTATATAAAACACCATTATATACAATTTAAGACTGGCTCAGCTTGTATTAGTAACAACTTTACATCATGTGTGTCTGGTATACCCCATGGGATTACATTTTGGCTACTTGTGGATATTTAGTCTTTTCATGAAAAATATTGCATTTTTTCTACCTTAGCAACTCAATTAAAAATATTAATAAAACAAGATATATTGGGAAACGAGAGTGTTGAGACGGTTTCAGAGTTACAATAACTTGCTCTTTGCTCCACTTTTCTACTGTCTCAGTTTACACTTTCGTCATCTCTAATTTGGGCCAACATAATAAATTCAATCACGTTTAACAAAAATTTGAGCAATAATTGGTGATGCACCATGAATTCTTATCAGATACTTATGGAGAAATTAATGAAATTAAAAAACATTGAAAAAAGGAATCGGACAAGTTTTATTCTACTGTGAGACAAACAAGCATGCAAACTGACTTATGTACTTTTCTAAAGATCTTGTTCCAAGGTGCTAATATTTGAAAATATGTTTGCTTTAAATGAAAACTACAAAAAAGTAGTCTCATTTCCTCTATTTATAAAGCATACTGAGATGGCTACTACTAGTCACAGTGTCTTACAAGCATGCATTTGTATTTGTCAGCACATATATACTGCTGAGGAGCCATATCTTATGTTTGTATTCTACACATTAAAATATTTTTCATATTGTATTTGCATTTCCACATTGCCTCTTGGCAACAAAATAAAATAAAATAAAAACCGTTCAGTGTTTGGAAAGATTGACTATTTCAATCTTTAGTTTATCACATTTTGATGGCTAATATGTCAACTGGGCCATATAGTACCTAGATATTTGGGTAAATATTATTCTGAATGTGTCTGTGAGAGTGTTTCTAAGTGAGATTAGTATTTGAGTAGACATATTAAACAGATTGCCCTCCTCAAAGTGGGTGGGCCCCATCCAATCTAGTGAAGGCCTGAATAGAATAAAAGACTGAGTAAAAAAGATTTCTTTCTTGCTGCCTAAAGTCTTCCAACTGGGACATGGGCCTTTTCCTGTCTTCAGACTTGGCATATAATTGGAATATAATTCAATATACCATTGGATCTCCTGGGTCTGTACTTCACATCCTTCATAATTGTATAATCAAACTTCTCATCATAAATCTCTCTCTTTTCCTCTCTCTTTTGATGTATGTTTGTGTAATCTATTATATACAAGTATAGATATAAAAAGATATATCATAAACAAATGGATATGCAAATATATACACATCCTATTAGTACTGTTTCATTGAAAAACCCTGAAGAAAACACACATATTATATTTAGAATACCAATAGGAAATATCAAATAATTAGAGTAAAACAATACTGGTTTGTAAACTTTAAATAAAACGGATAAAATTATTTGGCAAAATACTGAACTAGTAACTGAAGAATAATAAGAACTACAAATTGAATTAGACCTACAAATTAGAAAAACAAAATGAAATAATAATCTGAAGAAGTCTTGATTTGAAAACAAGAAAACTAATTAACAACAACAAATATGCAGCAGGTATTGTGAACGACTGTTAAATTTATAGAACCTAATGTTTCTGAAATTCTCAGAAAGTGTATGGCATGAGAGAGATTTTCATGGCTTCCAGAATCTCAAAATGATTGCTCATAGTATGGGAACACCATGATATTCCGTGAGCTACCTGGAAGGAGTGAGAGTAGATATTTCTTATGTATGATTATCAAAACTTTAGCACTTCCAAATTTAATAATCTTATTAACTAATATTTTAATATTCCAAATTTTAGGACAAATGGTAAAGTCACATCATCTATCTGCACTTAGGTTATTCTTATACTCATAAATGTATTAAACTACTGTGGCGCCTTTAACCACCCATAACTTCTAAAATAATCCTAGATCAATGGAAGTTATTTTTACATGTTGATATTTTCTTGTATACCTTAATATTACCATCATCATTAGATGAGATTAATTCAACATACCACAAACATTATATAAGCTACCAAGTGAACGTGAAAGTAGAAAACAAAATGGAATGCAAGCTCTTAACAAACGTGCCTGTTAAATAAAAATGGAAAACATACCATGTTAAAAAGCTTAATAGTCTTAATAATGGGAAATGGAGTAAAGAGAAATACTGGCCAAATAGAGAAAATTTAGAAACACACACTTAAATATATTTCCAAAAGACCTTATTAGCTTTTCTAGTATCTGTACTGAAAACAAGTGACTAGAAACAGAAAATAATTTTGATACATTTTATTTAATTTAGTTATATCCAGAATATTGTTTCAACATTCAATTACCATACATTATGATGAGATATTTTACTTTTTTTTCCTATGACATCTTTGAAATCTGGTACACATTATATACCTATAGTATACGTCAATTTGAGGACTCTACATTCCAATTGCTCAATAGCCAGAGATAGCTACAGACCACCATATTGGACAGACAACTCTAGGGAGCTTTCTAAGACCAATTATTTTTTTATTACATTTTCTGAATATATATACATTTTTATATTTTATTGTATTTATATTTTATTTTATTATATATATATTATTTATATATTATATACATATATGTATTTTTTTTTTGAGACAGAGTCTTGCTCTGTAGCCCAGGCTGGAGTGCAGTGGCTTGAGCTTGGCTCACTGCAAGCTCTGCCTCCCAGGTTCACGCTATTCTCCTCCCTCAGCTGGGACTACAGGCGCCTGCCACCACGCCAGGCTAATTTTTTGTATTTTTTAGTAGAGACAGGGTTACACTGTGTTAGCCAGGATGGTCTCCATCTCCTGACCTTGTGATCCGCCCACCTCGGCCTCCCAAAGTGCTGGGATTACAGGCATGAGCCGCTGCGCCCGGCCCTGAATATATTTTATTATAAAAGACACATCTAACTTCTGACTATTGTGGATTAATATGGTGGCAGAAACTAGTATTAATTATAAACATATTTTCTCACTTTAATATGACAAAAATTTTGCTTTTTGGTGTTATTTTGTATTTCATTTAAGTTTATTTTATTTCTTAAATTTTCATTTTTATTTTAGATTCAGGGAGTACAAGTGCAGGTTTGTTACAAAAGTATATTGTGTGGTGCTGAAGTTTGGGCTTCTATTGATTCTGTCACTCAGATAGTAAACATAATAACCAATAGAAAGTTTTCAGCTATTGCTCTGCTCCCTCACTTGCTGCATATAGAGTTCCCAGTGTCTGTTGTTCACATCTTTATGTCCATATAAACCCAAGATTTACCTGCAACTTGTAAGTGAGAACATTCGATATTTGGCTTTCTGTTTTTTGTTAGTTTGCTTTGGACACCAGCCTCCTGTTGCACTGATGTTGCTACAAAGAACATTATTTTATTCTTTGTTTTATGTGGGCAGTATTCCATTGTATGTATGTGCCCCATTTTCTTTATTCAATCCACCATTGATGGGTACCTAGGTAAATTCCATATCTTTGCTATCGTGAATAGTACTGCAATGAACATATGAGTACATGTGTCTTTTGGGTGGAACAATTTATTTTCCTTCAGTTATTTCCAGTAATAAAGTTTCTAGGTCAAATAGTAGTTCTATTTTTCTTTCTTTAGCTTTAGTTCTTTGAGAAATCTCCAAACTGCTTTCCACAGGGGCTGAACTCATTTGCATTTCCAACAGCGTATAAGCATTCTCATGTCTCCACAACCTAAATAACATGTTTATTTTTGACTTTTTAATAATAACCATTCTGACCTAGTGTGAGATTATGCCTCACTGTGGTTTTGACTTGTATTTCTATGATGATTCATAATGCTGAGGATAGTTTCATACGTTTGTTGCAGTATGTATGACTTCTTTTGAGCAGTGTCTTTTCATGACCTTTTCCGACTTTAATGGGGTTGTTTGTTTTTTCCTTGTTGATTCACTTAAGTTTCTTGTAGATTTTGGATATTAGTCTATTGTCAGATACATAGTTTGCAAATATTTTCTCCCATTCTTGAGGTTGTCTGTTTTCTCTGTTGAGAGCTTCTTTAGGTGTGCAGAAACTCTTTAGTTTAATGGCATCATATTTATTGACATTTTATTTTGTTGCATGTGCTTTTAGAGTCCTCATCATAAATTCTTTGCCTGGGGCAATGTCTAGAAGAGTATTTCCTAGGTTTCATTCTAAATTTTTTAAGATTTGAAATCTTGAATCTTGCACTTAAGTTTTTAATGCATCTTCAGTTAATCTTTGCATATGGTGATAAGTAGGAGTCTATTTTCATTCTTCTCCATGTGGTTAGCGAGTTTGCCCACACCGTTTATTAAATAGGGAGTCCCTTTCTCACTGATTATTTTTGGCAACTTTGTTTAAGATGAATGGACTATAGGTGAGCAGTTTTATTTTAGGGGTCTCTTTTATGTTCTATTGATCTATGTGCCTGTTTTTGTACCAGTACCACGCTGTTTTGGTTACTGTGGCCTTGTAGTATAGTTTGAGGCTGGGTGGTATGATACCTCTGCCATTTTTCTTTTTGCTAAGGAGTGCCTTGTCTATTCAGGCTCTTTTATGTTCCATATAAATTTTAGAATAGTTTTTTTTTTTCTAATTCTGTAAAAAATGACATCGGTAGTTTAATAGGAATAGTGTTGAATCTGTAGATTACTTTGGGCAGTATGGCCATTTTCACAATATTGATTCTTCCTATTTACAAGCATGGAATGCTTTTCCATTTGTTTATGTCAACTGTCATTTCTTTTAGAAGTATTTTGTAGTTCTCTTCATAGAGATACTTAACCTCCTTAGGTGCATTCCTAGGTATTTTACCTTTGTGGCTATTGTCAAGCATATTGCATTCTAGATTTGGTTTTCAGCTTGAACTTTACATGTATATTAAGATGCTATTTATTTTTGTTCATTGATTTTATATTCTAAGACTTTGCCAAAGTCATTTATCAAGCCTAGAAGTCTTTTGGCAGACTCTTAAGGGTTTTCTAGTTATAGAATCATATTGTAAACAAAGAGAAATGATTAGAATTCTTCTTTTCTTATTTGGATGCCTTTAATTTTTTTCTCCTGCCTGATTGCCTTGGCTAGGACTTCCAGTACTATGTTGAATAAAAGTGGTGAGAATTGACATCCCTGTCTTGTTCCATTCTTAAGGGGAATGTTTCTGGCTTTTGCCTCTTTAGTATGATGTTGGCTGTGGGTTTGTCATAGATGGCTCTTATTATTAATATTTTGAGGTATGTTCTTTTAATACCTAGTATGTTGAGAGTTTTTACCATTAAAAGAATGTTGAATTTATCAAATTTTTTTTTCCAAATCTATGAGAAGATCATATTTTTTTGTTTTTATTTTTTTGTTTATATGGTGAATCACATTTATTGATTTACATATGTTGAAACATCCTTCCCTCCCAGGATTAAATCCCAGTGGATCGTGGTGTAATAACTTTTTTTTTGTGCTGCTCCATTCAGTTTGTTAGTATTTTGTTGAGGAATTTTGTTTCTATGTTCATCATGTATATAGGCCTGTAGTTTTATTTTGTGTGTGTGTGTGTGTGTGTGTGTGTGTGTGTGTATGCACAGTTTTGGTGTCAGGATAATACTGTTTTTGAAGAATGAGT
Organism: Homo sapiens; assembly: GCF_000001405.40. NCBI lineage: Eukaryota > Metazoa > Chordata > Mammalia > Primates > Hominidae > Homo > Homo sapiens. The sequence continues at coordinate 131,318,091 of NC_000004.12, forward strand.
TAGCCAGGAATCTTCTCTTTTTAATTTTTTGAAATAGTTTCAATAGGATAGCTACCAGCTCTTTTTTGGGGAGCTGGTAGAATTTGACTGTGAATCTCTCTGGTTCAGCACATATTTTGATTGGTAGATTTTTTATTACAGTTTAAATTTTATTACTTGGCATTGATCTATTAAGGATTTCAGTTTTTTCTTGGTCCAAGTTTGAGAGATTGTGTGTTTCTAAGAATTTATCCATTTCCTCTACAATTTCTAATATATCCATATAGATGTTTATAGTAGTCTCCAAGGAACTTTTATATTTCTGTGGGATCAGATATGATGTCAACTTTGTTATTTCTGATTATGTTTATTTGGATCTTTCCTTTTCTTTGTTAATCTAGCTAACAGTCCATTAATTATGTTTATTCTTCTGTAGAACCAACTCTTTGTGTCGTTGATTCTTTTTATGCTTTCTTGGGTCTCAATTTCATTTATTTCTAGTCTGATTTTAGTTGTTTATTTTCATCTTCTAGCTTTGGATTTAGTTTGTTGCTGTTTTTCAAGTTCCTTTAGGTACAAAGTTTGTTAATTTGAAATCTTTCTATCTTCTTGATATCGGCGTTTGGTGTTATAAACTTTCCTCTTAACGCTTATTTTGCCATATCCCAAAGGTATTGGTATGTTTTGTCTCTAGTTTTGTTTGTACTATTTTTTGTTCTACTTTTATTCCACTGTGGGCGGAGAAGATGCTTGGTATGATTTTAACTTTTAAAAAATTTGTCAAAACTTACTTTAGAATTAAGTATGTAGTCAATCTTTGAGTTTGTTCCATGTTCAGATGAGAAAAATGTATATTCTGTGGTTGTAGAGTGGACTATTAGGTAGATTTCTATTTCATCTAATTGGCCAAATGTCAAGTTTAAGTACAGAATTTCTTTTTTAGCTTTCTGCCTTGATAATATGTCTAATGCTGTCAGTGGGGTGTTCAAGTCTCCCACGGTTATTAAGTGACTATCAAAGTATTTTCTTATGTCTATAAGTAATGGTTTTATAAATCTGAGTGCTCCAATGTTAGAGGCATTATATGTAGGATACCAAAATCTTCTTTTGAATTGAATCTTTTATTATAATGTAATATCCTTATTTTTGTACTATTGTTTACAGTCTATTTTATCTGATTCAAGAATTGTGGCCCCTGCTCTTTTTTTGCTTTCTATTTGTGTGATAGATTTTTCTCTCTTTTCTTTGAGCATTTAGTCCATTAATGTTCAAGATTCATTTTGATATATGAGGTTTTATTCTCATGATAGAATTGATAGCTAGTTTCCTTGCAGTCACAATTGTGCAGTTGCTTTATAGGATCTGTTAGCAATGTGCTTGTGTATGTTTCTGTGATAGCAAGTATCATTCTTTTGTTTTCATGTTTAGAACTCCCTTTAGCATCACTTGTAGGGCTGATCTGGTTGTGACAAATCTGTTTCTTAAGCTTGGGTATGGCAGGATATGAAATTCTTAGCTGGCATTTTTTTTCTTCTTTAAGAATACTAAAAATGAGCCCCCAACTTCTTCTGGATTGTATAGTGTCTGCTGAGAAGACTGCTGTTAATGTAATGGGCTTCTCTTTATAGATAATATGACCCTTTTCTTTAGCTATCATATTTTTTTATACATTGACTTGAATAGTGTGATTACTACGTGTCTTGGAGATGGTTATCTTGTATAGTATTTCACAAGGGTTCTCTGCATTGCTTGTATCTGCATGTTGACCTCTCCAGCAAAATTGAGGAAATTGTATTGAATTATATCCTCAAATATGTTTTCCAAATTGCTTACTTTATCTTCTCTCTTAGAAATGCTAATAAGTTTTATATTTGGTTGTTTTCCATAATCCCACATTTCTTGAAGGCTTTGGGTTTTTATTATAATAATAATTCTTATCACTTTACCTGATTGGGTTGATTTAAAGGGCCTGCCTTCTAGCTCTGAATGTCTTTCTTCTGCTTGGTCAAATCTGTTGTTATGGCTTCCAATTGTAATTTGAAATTTATGTAGTGAATTTTTTAAATTCCAGAAGTTCTTTTGGTTATTTTAAGGTGGCTATGTTGTCTTTCAAATCTTGGATTATTTTAGTGTTTTCTTTGGACTGGGTTTCAACTTCTGTATTTTATTGAGTTTCTTTGCCATTTATATTTTAAATTCTATAACTGTCATTTCAGAGATTTTACTCTGGTTAGAATTCATTGCTTGGGACCTAGTGGAGGTGACCAAACACTCAATTTTTTGGTATTGCTAGAGTTGTTTTTGTGCTGGTTTCTTTTCATCAGAGAGAGCTGATGTTTCCTGTTGTGTTTTTTGTTTTTTTTTTTTTTTTGAATTGCTATTTCTTGGATAGGGCTTGTTGATTTTTCATCCTCTTTTCCCTTGAAGGTATGACTGTAGTATATATTGTGTGATTGATTGGCTTTGTTTCTTGGTGCTTTCAGGTTGCCAAGTCTCTGCAATTTTTCCTTCATGGCAGATAGGTTCATGCAGTGGCTTTCTCAGATGTTGCTTACTGTAATAATGTAATTTTGTTTGGTAGTGTAGCTTAGAAATACATTCTTCAACAAATACCATCTACCAAGATTGAGTCATGAAGAAACAGAAAATCTGAACAGACTAATATTAAATAAGACGATTGAATCAGTAATAAAAAATCTATCAAAGAAAATACCAGGAACTGACAGTTTCCCTGCTGAATTCTATCAAACATTTAAAGAATAACTAATACCAATTATTTGCAAATGCTACCAAAAAATTGAAGACAATGTAATAACACATTTTATGTTTGCAGCATCACACTGATACTGAAGCCAGACAAGGACAATAGAGAAAAGAGAATTACAGATGTATCTCCCAGATGCATAAATCCTCAATAAAAGGCTAGAGAACTGAATGCAACAGTATCTTAAGAAGATTATTCACCATGATCCATTGGAATTTATTCCCAAAATGCAAGGATTGTTCAACATATGCAAATCAATAAAAAATACACATCACATTAACAGAATAAGGGTCAAAAACCATATCAGGATTTCAATAGATGCAAGAAAATGTATTTGACAAAATTAATTTTTTTTCTTAAGTTCTCAACAAATTCGATATACAAGGACTGTATTTCAACACAATAAAAACCATATATGACAAACACATAGCTAACTTCATACTAAATGGGAAAGTGCTGAAAGCTTTTTCTATAAGATCTAGAATAAAACAAGCATGTTTACTCGTGACACTTATATTCAACATGGTACTAGAAGTCCTAGCCAGAGTAAGCAAGAGACATCTATATTTGACATAAAAAGTTAAATTTTTCCTCCCTGTTTGTAGGGAGGAAATGATCTTAATATAGAAGACCCACAATACTCCACCACAAAAACTGTTAATTACAACTAACTAAAAGATTAGTAAAGTTAAAGTTTACAAAATCCACATACCCAAATCAGTAGGTTTTTTTGTTTTGTTTTGTTTTGTTTTGGTGCTAGTAGTGAACTCTCTGAAAAAGAAATCAGGAAAACAATTTTATTTAAAACAGGTATAAAACACTTATTTAGCAATAAATTTCACCAAGAAGGTAAAAGATCTCTGCACTGAAAAGTATAAAATGGTAACAAAAGACAATGAAGAAGACATAAATAAAAAAACTCCCATGTTCATGAATTGGATGAATTAATATTTTAAAAATTTCCATACTACCCCAAATTATCTAGATTCAATGCGGTCCCTATCAAAATACCAATAGAATTCTTCACAGAAGGAAAAAAAATCTTACAATTTGTATAGAAACACAAATGACTTCAAAAAGCCATAACAATCTTGAGCAAAAATAATAAAGCTAGAGGCATTACACTACCTGACTTAAAAATATACTACCAAGTATACTAACCAAAGAGCATTGTACTGACAAAAAAACAGATACGTAGACCAACAAAATGAAATAGACATCCCAGAAGTAAATCTATGCATATAGAGCAAACTGATTTTCAACAAAGTTAACAAGAACATATAATGACAAAATGAGTCTCTTTAATAAATATTTTGGGACAACTACATGTACACATGCAGAAGAAAAAAAATTAGACCCTTACGTTACACTTTAATCTGAAAATCAGCTTAAAATAAAGACTTAAGTGTAAGACCCAAAACAATGAAGCTACTAGAAGAAAACATATAAGAAAAGCTTAAGGACATTGGTCTAGGAAATGATTGTTTTAGATATGACCCAAAAGCACAGGCAGCAAAAGCAAACATAGACAAGTGGGATTGCATTAAACTAAAAAGATTCTGCACAGCAATGGAAACGATCAACATAGTGAAGAATCAACCTACATTATGGGAGAAAGTATTTGCAAACTATACATCTAATAAGAGGTTAATATCAAAAGTATATTAAAAACGTAAACAATTCAATATCAAAAAAACAAAGAACACAATTTTTAGAAGTGCAAAGAATCTGAATAAATATTTTTCAAAGAAAATCATACAAGTGGCCATAGGTATATGAAACAAAATGTTCAACATCAATCATCACCAGGGAAATGCAAATTATAACCACAATGAGATATTACTTCAACCCTGTTAGAATGGCTATCATCGAAAGGACAAAAGATTAGTGTTAATGATGACGTGGAGAAAAAGGAACCACTGCACACTGTTGGTGAGAATATAAGATAGCACAGCCATTATGAATAACAGTATTGTGGTTTCTCACAAAATTAAAAATAGAACTACCATATAATCCAGAAATCCTGCTACTGGGTATATATTCTGATATGGTTTGGTTGTGTCCCCACCCAAATCTCATCTTGAGTTGTAGCTTCCACAATTTCCATGGGTTGTGGGAGGGACCTGGTGGAAGATAATTTAATCATGAGGCAGTTCCCCCCATACTGTTCTCATGGTAGTGAATAAGCATTATGAGATCTGATGGTTTTATAAGGGGAAACCCCTTTTGCTTGGCTTTCATTCTCTTCTCCTGTCTGCTGCCATGTGAGATGTGCCTTTCTCCTCCTTCCATGATTGTGAGGCCTCCCCAGCCCGGAAACTGTGAGTCCATTAAACCTTTTTCTTTTGTAAATTGTCCAGGCTTAGGTATGTGTTTAACAGCAGCATGAAAACTAACTAATACAGTAAACTGGTCCCAGTTGAGTGAGGCACTGCTGAAAAGATACCCAAAAATGTAGAAGTGACTTTGGAACTGGGTAACAGTCAGAGATTGGAACAGTTTGGGGAGCTCAGTAGAAGACAGAAAAATGTGGAAAGTTTGGAACTCCATAGAGACTTCTTGAATGGCTTTGACCAAAATGCTGATAATATGGACAATGAAATCAAGGCTGACATGGTGTCAGATGGAGATGAAAAACTTGTTGGGAACTGGAGCAAAGGTGACTCTTGTTAGGTTTTAGCAAATAAACTGGCAGCATTTTGTCCCTTTCCTAGAGATTTGTGGAACTTTGAACTTGAGAGAGATGATTTACAGTTTCTAACAGAAGAAATTTCTATGCAGCTAAGCATCGAAGAGGTGACTTGGGTGCTGTTAAAGGCAGTCAGCATTAAAAGAGAAACAGCATAAAAGTTTGGAAAATTTGCAGCCTGAAAATGCAATAGACAAGAAAAACCATTTTCTGAGGAGAAATTCAAGTGGCTGCAGAAATCTGCATAAGTAATGAAGACTTGAATGTTAATCACCAAGACAATGGGGAAAATGTCTATGATGCATGTCAGAAACATTTGAGGTGGCCCCTCCCACCACAAGTCAGAGGCCTAGGAGGAAGAAATGGTTTCTTTGGCTAGGCCCAGGGCCCCCTTGTTTGTGCAGCCTAGGGACTTGGTGCCCTGCATCCCAGCCACTCTAGCCATGGCTAAAAGGGGCCAAGGTACAGCTTGGGCCATAGCCTGAGTGTGCAAGCCCCAAGCCTTGGCAGCATCCATGTCATCTTGAGCCTGTGGGTACACAGAAGTCAAGAATTGAGGTTTGGGAATCTCTGCCTAGATTTCAGAAGATGTATGGAAATGCCTGGATGTCCAGGCAATTGTTTGCTGCAGATGTGGGGCCCTCATGGAGAACCTCTGCTAGGGCAGTGTGGAAGGCAAATGTAGGGTTGGAACCCCCATACAGAGTCCCCACTGGGGCACTGCCTAGTGGAGCTGTGAGAAGAGGGCCACCATCTTCCAGACCCAAGAATAGTAGATCCACTGACAGCTTGCACCGTGCACCTGGAGAAGCTGTAGGCACTCAACTCCAGCACAGAAAAGCAGTCAGGAGGGAGGCTGTACCCCACAAAGCCATGGGGCAGAACAGCCCAAGACCATGGGAACCCTCCTCTTGCATCAGTGTGACCTGGGTATGAAACACGGAGTCAGAGGAGATCATTTTAGAGCTTTAAGATTTGACTGCTTTTCTGGATTTTGGACTTACCTGGGGCCTGCAGCCCTTTTGTTTTGGCCAATTTCTCCCATTTGGAAAGGCCGTATTTACCCAATGCCTTGTATTGTATTTAGGAAGTAACTAACTTGCATTTGATTTTACAGGCTCATAGGCAGAAGGGACTTGCCATGTCTCAATGGGACTTTGGACTGTGGACTTTTGAGCAAATGCTGAAATGAGTTAAGACTTCAGGGGAACTGTTGTGAAGGCACGATTGGTTTTGAAATGTAAGGACGTGAGATTTGAGAGGGGGCAGGGGTGAAATAATATGGTTTGGCTGTGTCCCCACCCAAATCTCATTTTGAATTGTACCTCCCCAATTCCCACATGTTGTGAGAGGGACACGGTGGGAGATAACTGAATTATGGGGGGCAGTTTTCCCCATATTGGTCTCGTGGTAGTAAATAGGTCTCATGAGATCTGATGGTTTCATAAGGGGAAACCCCTTTGACTTGGCTCTCATTTTTTCCTCTTGTCTGCCTCCATGTGGTATGTGTTTTTTCCCTTCTACAATGATGGTGAAGCCTCCCCAGCCACGTGGAAGTGTGAGTCCACTAAACCTCTTTATTTTGTAAATTGCCCAGTCTTGGGTATGTTTTTATCAGCAGCATGAAAGTGGACTAATGCATATTCAAAGCAAATGAAATCAGTAAGTCGAAGAGATATCTGCACTCCCATGTTGATTGTTGCATTATTCACAATAATCAAATTATGAAATCAGCTTAAGTGTTCATCAATGGGTAAATAAAGAAAATGTAGCTTAAATAATTAATATATAATTATATATAATTACACAAGTAATCTTCACACACTTAAAATATTCTGTCATTTGAGGAAAAAAATGCTTAACCTGGGAGACACTATGTTAAGTGAAATAACCTAGAAACAGAAAGACAAATGCCACATGATCTTACTCATCTAGAATCTAAAAAAGTACACCTTATGGGTAGATAATAGAATGGTGGTTATCAAAAGGTTGAGTGCTGCATGGGAGTGTTTGGGTTGATGGTCATAGGATACGACATTTCAGATAGGAGGAATAAGTTCAAGGGAGCTATTGCACAACACGATTACTATATTTAACAATATATTTTATTCTTGAAAACTGATGAAAGAGTAAATGTGAAGTATTATCACAAATAACTATAAAGTAATAGAGATGTTAGATAGAGGTAATCATTTCATAATTTACACATACTTCAAAACAATCTGTTGTAAATGGCAAATACATGCAATTTTAACTAACAATTCAAAAAATAAATATATGTAAGGAAAAATTGAAGCACCTTCTTTTTCAACTTTTGTGTTTAGTTCTCATATTATGATGAATCAATCAGTCAACCAATCTGTAAGCAGTAGAATATAATTTCCCATTTTCACCATTCTCCATTTCTTCTGGCTACCAAGGAATTTTTGCCCTTTCTTCTGATTATGATTATTTCTTTCATCAAGCTGTAAGTCAAGTCATAGGACCTCCCCTCTCCTTTAATAGCTTATGAATTTCCAAAATGTTAGTGAAAATTAAGTATGTTTTACATTGCTTTAAGGTAAAATTTAGCCATCTGTTACCTGGGCTATTGCATTTTTCAAAATTAGGTTTTGCTACCTTACCCTTGTCACATTTTTTATAGTTACCATACCAATGTTTCTAAAATACAGTTCCAATAGTTCCACCCACTTGGTTACATATTTAGAATACTTTCTGGCTTGCTATAGAAAAGTTACTAAAGACCTTTATGTTTAATTAGAAGCTCTTTTATGTTATGGCTCTTTTACGCACCTTGAAATTAGGTACTTGTATCCTCTCATGTCCTCTACCAAAGACTCTTTCCATTCTCAGCTACACCGTATTAACTGTTACTCTTCTATGCTTTTGAAGATGTTGTTGTTGTTTGTCATCTTTTCTCAAACCTTGTTTTCATGCAATGCCTTCAAGACTATCATTCTGCTTTTGTTTTTCTTTTGTTTTCTTCTGGCAATATTTCTATTATCTTGGTAGATTATTGTGGAAAGGCACAAACTCAGAAAGAAGGTAATCTCATTGCACCTGCCCTGAAATTTATGCTATCTTTGCTAGAGAAGATTACAGAATAATATAATATTTTCTATTACTATCAGGTGAAGGTTAAGACACTGTTTAGGTTCATAGGGAATGTACAACAGTATTTATTTATAATCTTGCTCCAGGGCTATGTCAGTTTTTCTCCACCCTAGCCTTTCCTCAGAACATCATGCTTTTCACCATCTTAACCACCTCATCTTAATAGGATAAAATGATTTAAAAAAAGTCCAAAGCACATTAGAAGCCTTAAAAATGACAGATGCACTTTACAAGGTAGAAGATAAACCCTGATGCCCTAATTTTCTGTACCAAATGTATATTTTAAAGTAAATCCCCCCCAAAAAAACAACTCATGCTTAACAAAGACAAAAGCAATTGTTCTTACATGATGGTCCTTAAGCCTGTTACAGTTAGTTGAAAATTATAAACCACACCTTTATTCATAGTACCTGAAATAATAGATGCTCATTTTCTAAAAAGATATTTATCAGAATACAGAAGAGGTAGATTAGTAGGCTATCTATTATATAATAGTGCTTCAATAAAGGTATGAGCAATTGCATGTTTGAAATGAACTATTTTATTAAACAACTAAGTTTAAATTTTTGATTTGAGATTGTACAATTAGAAAATGATTACTTAATTGAAAAGACAATGTAAGAGAGAAAAATCTCGTATCCATTACTCAAAGGGTTTAGTGTACAAACCTTTTTGGTCATAGAGGTAAAGAATGACTTAGGAAAATATGAGAATTATTAGAATATCAAACACACATTTTAATTTTTGGAAGGTCTTTTTTTTAAATGTAGGAGTGAATTAACTTAATCTCCAGGTATGTATGGCTTTTAGTGTGCTCTTCCCTTCAGTTTTCTGAGTTTCTGCCTTGCAATGTTTTCTCTGGAGACTAAAATATTTGCATGATGTTTAACTAGCCAACTGAAAAAATTATCTGGGTTATTAGTGAGAATATTGTTAAACGAAGAAAAAGTATGAGGGCGCCAGTTGGCTGTTAGCACACTGCCACTGTTTGACCTGTGTGCGTCTGCTTCTTTAGGAAGGCTATCATTCTGACTTGAGACCTCTCCTCTGATTTTTGCTTAGCTATCTTCAAATTTTTTACCTATAACCTAGTATTTCATATCAAGATTTTATATTTGGAATCCTAACATGCAGATGCAAATGGATTCCTTTAATATATTCTCTTTTTCACATTTATGAACACTGACTTTTTTTCTTACACAAATTAGTCAGAATCCTGTCATATTCACCTATGTGGCCATTGTTTAAAGTTGATCATTTAATGCTGGGTTTACATATCCCAGGCTTTCTCTACTTTTCTTACTAAATTATATTAAATTTCACTGTATATTTTTTGTCCTTGTAGGTTAACAGAGGGGAAAATTGAATTAAAGAATGTAAAGTAAAAGTAGCTCCATTCTCAATTAGAAACTCTATAAAAATAAAAATATAAAAATCTGTAATCTATTAATCTGCATACAATGAATGAGTTGTAATGATACCGAGGAGACTTAATTCAATGACCTAATCAACAAAGGCTTATAATTCTCATTTGAACAGCTGAATCAGCATCATTTATGATTAGCCTAGTAAACAAATTATATTTGATTATGTCTTATATTTACTCTTAGAAATACATGAAAAAAAGCAGAACATAAGTATAGTGGTTCATGTATTAATAAATCATTCGTTTTATTACTCCTGAGTATCTTTCATTTTATCCTTTACATATTAGCATCCTTTCAGCTATTTTTTATCTGTGAAACAAAAATTACATTTCCTAGATGTTATTAATGCTGACATATGAACAAATGTTTTGACACTTGATAATTTAGAAAAAAATGTGTAATCAGAGTTTTAAAAAAATCAATGTTTAAAGAGCACACAAGTAGAATTTCAAATATTTTCATATTTAAAAACATTATAGTCAATTGAAATTTTTTGTCAAAATTTTGTCTACTGTAAGTTATATATATTTGACATATATTAACTGTTAATTACATTAATATTAGTGCAAATGTTTTCATTTTGTTTTAATTAGGGCCATAAATGCCACTGAAAGTAACATTCTCCATTTTTAAGTTAGTATATGCTATAGCATGATCTTTGGAAAAACAAATTTCAAAGCTTTTCTTTTATAGAAGATAATTGTCCTGAGATTGAAAAGATTGAAATATATAGAAAACTACATTAAAAGAGTTTGAATTTATCACTAACAACTACTGACAAATTTGCACATTTAGATGTTGGACATGTAAGTAAAAAAGTGCTATAGTCTCCTTAAAAATTGAATAATTTGAAGTATTAACAGTTTCAGTTATATTATAAAATAATTATTGCCAAAGTTCCACCTTTGAATTCCCTGCATGCACTAAGGAGGAAATAACTAATATTGCAATTTTAAGACAAGGTCCATTTATTTCCAAATGTACAGAGAAAAATACAGGGACCTCCCAAACTGTCTTTTGCATAACAATCTGCTTTCGATATTGTGTTCTCCAAAAGCTTTTTTTCTTAACAATAAACAGGTCTAATATAGTGTACAGGAGTTCATCACATATAATACATTAAATTACTAAATATATGATGTATATTTCTGGATCTAATTATTTATATTTCTAAGATTTACTCCTGCATGTTTTTCCAACTATCATAATTTTAATGCAGGCTTGATGATGACATGTCTTTTCGTTACATTTGTCTAAAAGTGTATTTTTTTACTTTGATTGATTTTTATTGAGAAGCCTACATATTAATTCTGTTTTGGGTCCTCTGATGTTATTTATCTGTTTGGTGTTATATTTCATCCATTTTTGAAAAAATACCAGCCATTAACTCTTCAAATATCTTCCTGAATGTGTCTTCCATGTTTTTAATGCTCATGTGTTGCTCTTGTTGCATTGTGTACTCTGTGTACTTTAATTTGGATATTTCTATTGATTTACCTTATAGTTCTCCAATTTTTATTCTATTCTGTAGCCAATTCCATCTATTGATTGTGTGTTAATTGCATATTTTATATTTTGCATTCCGGGACAAATTCTTTGAAAATTCTTTCAAATTCTTTGTAAACTGAACAACTTTTAACCTATTCTGTATGTATTTTCATCAGTTTCTTGATCTTTTAAAGCCTTTGTCTGATCAATACAATATCTAGATTGCCGGTAGATATTTTAAATTTTTTCTCTTGGTTGTAAATCATGTAATTACGAATATCATTAATATATTAAGATTTAATCATTTCACAGAGTTCAATATTTTCTATAAAATGCATGCATAATTAATAGCAGGTGACCAGTTATATATAAATTCTTACAACATTTAATTTAGCTGTTAATTAAATGGTGTTGATGGCTTATATTTGTTAATGTTTCATTATATAAGCAAATCAGACAGGAAAAAATAGTAGACCCTACAAGGTATGATGGGCTAATTTTTCCTGGTGCTTCATATGTTAGAAGGAAAAAAACCAGACTTTAATTTAAAGACAATTCATCTTTGAGTTAAATTCTTCAATTTGAGATTTCCATTCATTTTGATGATGTCTTGCAAATATCTTACAAACTTTACTACTTCAAGCAACATAAATCACCATTTTATTGAATTATAGATTTTAAACCCTATGAATCACTTAAAAAAACAGAATAAATAGTCTTCTCCTTTTTCAGATGAGCAGATTAATATTCACAACAGTCACATCATATGCTTTTAATGCTATATAGCAAGAAGTGCAATTCTGATTTCCAGATTTTTAATCTTATATTTTACAACATCATAGTTGTAAGATTTTATTTCTAGTTGAAATACATTTTGTATTATATTTGTTAGCATTTCTTACAACAGAGTAATTGTGAATTATTTTTTTTACTATCTCAGACTGGTCAGTTTTTTCAGACTTGCTCAGTTACAGGTACTACTGATAATTCTATCTGTCATGTAAGAGGCCGAGTGTTGAGATTGTAAGATCAAAAAATTAAATTGAGTACTACCATGGAAGAATTTTAGCCTGGAGAGGTGCCTCAAGCTCATAAGTGTCTTATGTGAACATGAAATGTACACTTATTGTGCTAAATCACAAAGATTTGGGGATCGTGCGTTGCTGTAGGACATTTTTTTTCTAGCCAGCCTAATTCAATGTTTTAAAAAATTTCTGTTTCAAGTCTAGAACCTAGCACATGGGGAAAAGAATGTTAAATATATTTAAATTATATATTACATTTTAAACGTAGGATTCAGTATGGAAATATCAATCAGAACATCTTAGAATATTATCTCATCTACATTGTTGCTACTTGGCCTGGTCAATGTGTTGTGATCAGGAAATATTTGTATGTGTTATGTGCCTTCTATCTAATATATATATTTTTTCTAATTTAGTGTTAAAAAAGTTTAAAAAGTATAATTATTTTATAGCTTAAAACATTAGAGCTCAAAAATTAAGCCATTCACCTGTTACACAGCTACTAGCTTTTAGAGCTAGAAATCTTATCTGTGGTTGACATTACTAATTTTTACTAATATTTGGTTCTTGTCTCCTTCCAGCTAAGTGATGGATTATTCTCCACCCAATATTAAAGTATTCTGTGACCACGTGATAGGCTTTAGCCAAGGAAATTTTTCACTTTTGGTCTAAAGTCTTTCATTGTTGGATCTTGATGTTCTATCCTTGTTGTCCTCTATCATGGTAACATAAGTACATGGTAAAACCTTGTACTTATGTGGCGGCATCACAATATGGTGGAACTTCCACTCCCCACTCCACTGAATGTCTAATTGGCTACAGTGTATTTATGCCAAAAGATAAATACATAGCATAAATAAAAAAAAGTCCTTGTATTTAAAACCACTGAGAATTTAGAATTTATTAGGACACTATATCCTAGCTATACTGATATAATGCAGTATCCAAATCTTCTCATATAAAGCTTTTCTCTTCCACAAAGTTATTGTTTTCAGAGAGCAAGATTATGTTCCCTGTACATAGTTCATCTCCATGCTTTTTTTTAAAGTATATGATATATAAACTCATGGTACCTGATAATTCATAAAAGATGTATGTTTCAAATCTAAAAATCAGTGTTAAAAAGTAAAGTTTATAATAAATAGCTGAAATTTAGTTCCTAGCTATTTTAAGTGTATTATTTATGTATATAGAGTGTAATTAGAATGTCCAAGAATTGCATTTATTTAAAAAATATAAATAGAGTGTGATGTTAAGACAAAACTACTGTCCTGATTGCTATAATAAGCAAATGTCCCTTGTGAAATGTTGAGAAAGTGGAAACACTTAAATTACTGAGGACAAAGAAAACACGCTATGTGTGTTATTGTATTTCATCTTTACAGTAAATCTAAGACTCCATTACTCTTATTATCATTTTATATATCAAGGAATAGAGCTAAAGGAATTGTACAACTTTATACAAATTTATACAGCCTGTGAGCATCAGTATGATTTTAAAACAGATTTTACAAGTAAATTTAGAATTATGCTTTAAACCTTATACATAGAGCTACTAAACATAGGCATATTTCTCTGGTGGCTATGATGTTGCTTTCTATGTACAGTTAACAGATATTGGGAAAATCCTCTTCCGTAATCATCTTTTTCATAATATGCTGAATCAAAACTCAATGAGTTTCAATAAAACATTTATGTGGTATAATAAAAAGCTAATTCTTTCATCTATTTGCCAGAAGTTGGCTTAATTTTTCTAATTTGTTAAACAGCTGGTGATCAAGGTTAAGATACATTTAGCTGCAATAACAAAATTTACAACTAAGATTATTTAAAATAATAAATTAACATATTATCATATGTATTACAAAATACAGAGGTGGTATGTGTTTAACATTAGTTGACCAAATCAGTGTGGTCATTGGTACTTCTTTGCTCATGGCCAGTGGCACATTCTTTCATTGTTAATCTTGAATATAAGTCCACTCATCAATATTGTTGTGCCAACTTAGGTTAATACCCTTGTGTGTGTGTCTGTGGTGGGGACGGGGGGTGTCTCCAAACAGCTTTGAGCTGTTTTACTTAACCAGCGTTCTTAGGTCACATGGCAGGAATGGTAGGATTATCATGATTAGTTTAAAATAATTGAGGGAGGAACAAGGAAGAAACTCATCAAGCAGGCAGGCAGGGTGAGTCGTCAGTACAACTTCAACACAAGCAGCCTGAAAATCAAGCTGCAGTCCCCAGATAAGAAAGAGCCCATGTCCTTGAATTGCAACGCCTATTCTGTGAACCTAGATGAACAAATGCCACTTCTCTTTTGGACACATTTTTCTCTCTTTGGCCAGCCTTTGTCTTGCTTCATGTGCCTCCTCCCGATTGGTCCTTACTTTTCATTGATTTTGTATATATTTAATACCTCTCTTCCTGTGATTGGTCCTGGGCCAAGGTCCAGGGCCAACGTTCCAGGCCAAGCCTTCACCTCTGCCTCCAACTTGTTCTTTTCACTATCATGTCTTTTTCTGAGTGATGTTTTTTCCAAGATGGCATAGAGACCAGTAAGCACATTCCTCCCACTCCCCAGACCACTAAACCTCGGGCACTTGGCCCCACAGCAGCAGCCCTTGTTCTGGTCCCCTCTCCTTGCTGAAAACTTTTCTCTCACTTAAGAAATCTGACTCTGCCTGACTCACTATCTGGTGTCCACATGCCTTATTCTTCTTGGTCGTGGAACGAGAACCCCCGAGCTCGCCAGCAGTGCCAGTGAAAAAGCTGTAACACTCCCTCCCACTCGGGACAACAGGAGTGAAAAACCTGCAACATAATCAGAGTTCATCTTTGGAGCCAGTGATAGGCTTCGATTTCCTCAAATCATCAGTGCTATTAGTGCTATTAAACCCTTAGAAAACTATATGGTTAACTTACATTAAGTAGTCCATACAATAAAACATTTCTGAGTGTCTATTATGAGCAAAGCTCTCTACTAGAAACTGAGGATATAATATACTAAACAGCAAAATTGACATGGTCATTGCCCCCATGGAGATTACTGCCTTTTGCTAATAACTGCCAATTACAATTGTCACAGTGTAGGTCTGTATGCCATGTGCTTTATAAATTCTCCTCAATTTCAACCACATTTCCATGAAAAGGATATTATTTTAATCTTCATGTTAAAATGAGGAAAGTTAATTTCACTAGCTTTAGGTAAAATGCACAAGACTGCACAGTTATTAATTGAATGGGCCAGGTTTCTAATCCACTAAGTCTCATTCTGCTGCCTGAATATAGAACTTATCAGTGCTATCTACCCTTATTTATCACATATATTTCAAACTTCATATACCCTTAAAAAGAGCTGTTATCTTTGGGATTGTCCATTTTTTCTCTATAGTCCATTCATACTACATGCATATTAAATGAACAGTTGCTTAGAGTTGCATAGGTGTTGTACCCAGTCTGTGTTTACCAGAAATCTGGATATGTTCAATATTATGTTTATGTATATTATGTTATTTAAATGAGAATTGAATGAGTTGCATCTGTGTTGTAGTAGAAAGAACATAGTTGCTGGAATCTCATGAACATGAGTTCATTTCCTGATATTTTTTCCTTATAACAGTTCAGTGGCCACAGACAATTCAATTAACATTTATAGATTGATTCCCAACTTTAGATAAAGAGATGTGAACAGTAATATATAGGTATTCTTCAACATTAAATTACCCCTTAAAAAATTTCTGTTCAATCTGGCACGCGACATTAAATAATTCTTACTTATGCTTCTGCGGCTTTTTCATTTTCTGTTTTGACAGTCTTGCTTTGGTTCAAACATTTGATTAACAACATTTATATTTGCTTAATGAATGATAGATACTTCCCATGCTAGCACAGTAGTTTTGTAAGTCATTTTCTAGTTGACTTGGATTTGTAAACCAACTTTGAAGTGGGGATCCTTACCTAATCTAGAAATGGGGACTCAGGTCAGAGTGGGTCTGTCATAGTTGCTAGATAACATGATGACACTTCTTGGTAGAAAGTTGTCATGCAGCCACCATTATAGACTAACCAAAAATCAGAAATCTAGTTTATTTATATTATCATCTGACTTGGAGTCAGAAAGAAATATTTTAGACACATTATTTATCATTTTGAGTCTGTATCTTCCACCATGAAATTTCAGGGAACAAGAATAATTAGCATTTCTCTTCACGTGGTATAGGTCAAATTATCTCACATGCATAAAAAAACTTTATCAATTGTATAATAAAACAAATGGAAACTAGTGTGTTAGAATTTTCATCAACATTATTAATAAAACCTGAAATTATAGTACACTAAGAAGAAATAGCCATATGTAGGCAACAACATATCAGAGTATTATCAAGTTCCTGTAAAAAAGGAGCTTTATTACTTTGGACCTAATGTATTTCTGAAATAAATAAAAGATATAAAAACTGTCATCTTGCTTAATACATAGTTTGCTTTTAAATTTATTTGACATTTCTCTATGATTTAACATTAAATTGAAAGAGTTATGTATCATAAATATTTTAAGTGAAAGCTCACCTTTTTCAATGTGGCAAACAAAATAATATTTGAAAAAATATCCACGTAAACATAAGCCTTTTGTTGGCTGAATATGGAAAATATAATAGAAACCGATGATATCAAATTATAAATGTGTGTGTATGTATTTTTGATCTTTTAAAACGCTTCTCCTCTTATAGAAATCAGACATGAAATCAATTTCCAATATGACTTTAGACAAAGAGATATAAACGGTAATATACATTTTTTAATACCTGGGCCCAGATTAAAAAATTAAGTGCTTCAAGATTTCAGCTGTCACTTACTGCTCTCCACGAGGGTTTACATTTGTCATCTATGCTATACTGGAAGAAAAACTATTTTTCAACTACAAGTGACTACATATATGACAACAAGATGAAATAAAATAGAAAAATACCATTTATGTTTAGAAAAAAATACACATTAAGTCTTTATGTTTTTAAATAGTCTGTCCAGGTTAATAATTGTGATAGTGACTGATATATTCTCAAAATTCTTCAGAATTTTGTTGTCCTGGAAACTTTGCTCATAATCTTGCAAAAATATATAAAAACATATATAAAGCTTGTAATATTTAAGTATTTTGACACTCAAAAATAGTGTTTCATTTTAATTATACAATTTTTCATTGTATAGAATAATTAGGTTCCAAACTTTCATTGACACACGTATCATGGAGACAAATATTTCATCAACACAATGTTGGATCTAAGATGTTCAGTAATTGATAACATTCTTTCTCCCTATGAAGAAAATTTGGTATAAGTTATATTCCTAAGACTAGAGAGTGTGCATCAGCATCTAATGGTATTTGAAGAAAATTTATTTTATAGAAAGAAAAATTTAAATATAAATTAATATCATTTCAAAAACTCTTAAGATTTGGCTTAGATTTCATTTTATGGTAGTGAATTAAAGTAGCATGATTCATTCTTTTAAAAATTTTTGTGTTAATATTTATTTTGAAGAACTGAGTTACTCTTGACTGAGGAAAAGGATGTTGTATTCATCAAATCTAGTAACAGATCTGCCCAACATGACATTAGTGGAATAGGTACCATTTCATTTATGATTATATTTGAAAAATATAAATAATTCAATGAAAATTAAAATTACAAAGATAAATACCAAGTTTACAGAATCAGGCTGAGTCAACTAATTGTCATAAGTACACTTTACCCAATGGCCATAAACATTTTTAAATACTTCATATATAGATTATATATGATGTATTTTATAATAAAAGCTTAGTTTGACCTATATTTGGGAAAATTTTAAGTATTTTGACATGGATTGCTGCCAATTTATCAAGTTTTGGATTTGAAGAAGTTGAACAATTTGGTACTATTTATGTGGGAGGTATATGTGTGTATACAGAAATTTGATATTTAAATAAAATTTTGTGTTGGAAATGTATTTATTTGAGTGCCTACTCTCTTTGGATTCATATATGAAGATATGTTAAAAATTTATACAATCTGAAATATTTAGAACCAGCTAGAATAACTGAAGAGATATTTCATAGTCTTTGGCTTATCATAATATCTTACCATAGTTAGTAGTAATCTGAAAACCAAACAGTTATTGTGGATCAAATGTATAGCTATGAACTAAATCGGATGTTAAAATTGAGGATTTTGGCTGGGCGTGGTGGCTCATGCCTATAATCCCAGCACTTTGGGAGGCTGAGGCGGGTGGACCACAAGGTCAGGAGTTCAAGACCAACCTGGCCAAGATGGTGAAACCCCATCTCTACTAAAAATACAAAAATTAGCCAGGTGTGGTGGCATCTGCCTGTAATCCCAGCTCTTCGGGAGGCTGAGGCAGAGAATTGTTTAAACCCAGCAGGTGGATATTTCAGTGAGCCAAGATTATGCCACTGCACTCCAGCCTGGGTGACAGAGCGAGACTCTGTCAAAACAAAAAAAAAAAAACAAAAAAAGAATTTTTTTCGTTTAAGAATGGAGAATTTGTGAATTCTGGGTTTGTTGCATACCTCTGGCCAATGAAAACAATATTTCTTGATGCAGTAGAGTTATAAAGTTCATTTGTAAGAATTTTGTAATACTCTGAGATCCTTTTTTTGCCTACCTATGCCTATTTCTTCTTTGTAGATGCTAAAAATATAGTTTAGTTCTGAGTTCTTATTAGCAAATCATTTCAACTTTGTAAGGAAAACTGAATTCCTTAATGATTAGTAATGATTACTATGTCCTACAAAAAGAAATGCTTGGAAAAATAATTATATATTTAGCAGTAATATTCAACAGAGTTAAAGACCGGAGAAAAAATATTTTGCAAATCAAAAAAATTGTACTTTCATATGGGATATATGTTTTCCTGACTGATATGGCATTTAACAACAGGATGTACCTTCAGAGAAATAGACATCTTTGCTCAAAAAATGTTGCTAAAAATGATAAATTTTGTTCAAATCTCTCAAAATCTTTCACACAATAATAACTCAAATTTGTTTCAATGATTTGTACTTTTAGTTTAAATGCACATTAAGAAATATTATAAAGTAACATAAAAGCAAAAACCAGGATTTTCTCTTTCACAAAACTATTGAGCTCTTGAAACTTAAAAAAAATAACAAAAGCAGAAACATAAAACCAAGTATCTTAGCATGAGTGTGTTTTAAACTACTTACTAAGTGACCTCTTCAATGTTGCTTAGCAGAACTATTATAATGAAAAAGAAAAAAACACATCTCTGCTACTAGTTACATTTTGATGTCTTCTAATGACGTACATTTTTTTCTGGTAAAACAATGCCAGGAATATAGAATATTAAGTCTTTGATTCATCTTGTTTTGGATTCACATAAGCAGTCACTACATGGTTTCTTTGTCCACAGGCATATTAATTTCATGTTGTGTCTTTGATATGGTTTAGCTGTGTCTCCACCCAAATCTCATCTTGAATTGTAATCCCCATAATTTCCACATGTCAAGGGCGGGAACAGATGGAGGTAATTGGATCATGGGGGCATTTTCCCTCATGCTGTTCTCATGATAATGAACGAGTCTCATGATATCTGATGGTTTTATAAGCATCTGGCATTTCTCCTACTTGCACTCACTCTGTCCTGCCACCCTGGGAAGAAGGTGCCTGCTTCTCCTTTGCCTTCTGCCATGATTGTAAGTTTTCTGAGGCCTCCCCAGAAATGCAGAACTGAATTAATTAAACCTCTTTCCTTTATAAATTACCCAGTCTCAGGTATTTCTTCATAGCAGTGTGAGAACGAACTAATACAGCCTTACTCAAAGAATTGCCATGAAAGATCTGATTATACCTCCCTTTAAACAAGTCTAGGAGATAACTGCTTCACCCTTTAATGTGTTTTAACAGTGCACACATAGTAAAATGGGCATATAGCACCAAAGTTATATTTGAAATATACTTGCTCTAATTTAGAAATTTTTAAATACAGCCATGTGTCACTTAATGATGGGAAAACTTTCTGAGAAATGCATTCTTAGGTGATTTCATTCTTGTGTGAACATCACAGAATAAATGTACTGACACAAACCTAGATAGTGCAGCCCACTACACAGGTAGGCTATATGGCATAGCATATTGCTCCTAGACTACAAACCTGTTACAGCATGTTCGGGCACTGAATACTGCAGGCAATTATAACAGAGTGGTAAGTATTTGTCTATCTAAACATATCTAACCATAGAAAAGGTACAGAAAAAAATACTGCATGGCTGGGCACAGTGGCTCATGCCTGTAATCTCAGCATTTTGGAAAGCCGAGGCTTGTGGATCACCTGAGGCTAGGAGTTCAAGATCAGCCTGGCCAAGATGGTGAAATTCCATCCCTACTAAAAATATTAAAAATTAGCTGGGCATGGTGGTGCCTGTCTGTAATCCCAGCTACTGGGAGGGCTGAGGCAGGAGAATTGGTTGAACCCAGGAGGCAGAGGTTGCAGTGAGCTGAGATCGCCACAAACATCCAAATGAATAACCAACAAATACATTTACACCTTATATTTTAGTTCTCCTATACTATTAACAATAATGCAAATTTTAACTAAGTCTGTGATAATATAAATAATATAATTGCTAAAATAACATTGGCTTAAGCAAGGTGAAATGTATTTCACTCTCATAAAAGTACACACGTGCAGTGCAGTTCTACTCCATGATGTAACCCTGACTGTTTCCTTCTTCATATCACCTTCATATTCATATTCATAAGATGTTTCACTTTCTGTGTGAGGTGCAGAATAGCTTAAACTCATGTTTATATTCCAGTTTAAGTGAAGAGGGAAGTGAGAAGAAAAGGGTCTCCATTCTCTTTTTAAGGACATCATATCACTTAGACTCAGCTCCATTTGACCAGAATGATTAAACATAGCTTTAAGAGGGCCGAGGTTTGAGAACTTTATTTTGAGTAAGAATAAGTAACAGTAAAAATTACAATGCTTATTATCATGGTAATTGAGGTAATAACAATCCTATCATCTGTCAAAAACAAACAAAAATGCTACATAAGCTACATTAGGTGTTTCATATTAATATAATTTAATAAAAAATTGATGGGCATCAGTGATCTAAAAAGGTGTGAGAGACAGAGATGTAGAGAATAGAAATTTTAGCAAGCAGCTATCATTTTTATAACTGAGGGAACAAAAACAGAAGAGGTGCAGTTTCTAAAATCTAGGAGCATTGTTGAAGGGCCTCCTCCCCAGGAGATGTGTGCACTTGAAGAATTCACACTTTGGAGAACAGACTGTGACTATTGGAGAAGAGATCATTTAGGATAGAGCTAGAAGCTTGAAGGACCATTAGCTTAGAGAAATAGGAAGAAGTAGGAAGACAGTTGGAATGCAAAAGGAAAATAATACAATTTCTCCTGTCCTCCTAATAAGAAAACAATTGCAAAAGAACTTTGGAATGCAGAATCCTACAGTATATTACTGAAGAGTGGGCTGATTCTGACTAGCATATTCTGAAGGCAAAAATTACCTTATTCTCTTTCCAAAAATAAGAGAAACAATAGCTACTATATCCCTTTCCAGTTTTTATTAAATCTGATTTTTAATACAATCCCACTCTTGTATATTCCATAATTTGAAGACTAACATTTGAAATTAACCACCACTACTAATCTGAAATCAGAGAAATAAAAAAGAAGGTAAGTATGTAGTAGATGGACAGATAATAGATGGTAGGTAAATTAGATAGATAGATAGATAGATAGACAGATAGATAAATTGACAGATCATCAAGAGAGGGAGAAAATACACATAGTAATACTGTTTTGTTTGTGTTCATGGTAATAAAGCTACAGTTTGTTATAATAACTTTATTCTCCCACCAGTTATTCCATATTTTCTTTATTCTCATCTAGTACCTCAGCTGGTCAGGGTTCTATATCTGATAAGGTAATCAAAACTTTATTCCCCAATACTCTACATTCCCAAGTACCTCTGCCTTTGTAAGGTTACAGTATTTTTTTAATTAACTTATGTGGTTGATCATCAACTAATAAAATCCCTAAAAATACTTCCAAGTTTCAGATATTGTTCTCCCTGTTCTCACTGTGTGTCAGCAACCCAAAAAGTTCCCCCTCTGGCAATTGTGATCAGTTGTCATCCCAGCCAGTACAGATATTTACTTTTTTGACTAAATATTCAGTGGCATGTGTAGCTTCAAACTGCAAAGTTCTAGTGTTGTGTTCCCATTCAATGGAACCATTATTTCCTCTGTTAAAAACATTCCCTTTTTGGTAACCCTGAACTCTACACCAATCAATGATAACCACAAATAATGTTTTACTAGGTGGAATTCAGGATTCTGACAAGTGGGAAAGATAGAGGGACAGGAAGCTTTTCTCAGAAGAGAGTAATTATCCACAGAAGGGAACATGGCTTTACCCTAAAACCCTAAGCACTTGCACCATAATATTCTGAATGTGGCTTGGTAGTCACTCTGTAGAGTATCCTGTTTTACCATAAATGCTTCAAGTACCACTGGATGTACTTAATTATAAAAACTAATAGGAAGAGTTGTCTAAATATCCTTCAGAGCATTTTCTTGCTTTAGGCCTCACTGAAAACTGGAAATCTTATGAGCTTTTCAGTAAATAGGACAGACAAATACACACAAATTTGCATATGGTATCTCAATTTTCAATATGCTCAACACATTTGGCCTATTTCTTGATTGTAAGGATTACAAGATTCAGAAACATATATATGTATATATTTACTTTAGAGTAATTATTCTGGCATGCCAGACACCACTGGAACCTGAGAAACTTAATTGGCATTACAGGTTTTGGCAACTTCCTGAGTTTAACTCAGCTTACTGTGCACACATCTTAGAGAGGCATCTTTGAGCTCGTTACTTTCTGATCATCAAATTCGGTCAACTTATGTCCTCAGTAAAGTGGACCAGAATAATAGTTTAATGTAATGTCAGCCTGACTATAATATGGCAAGAAGCAAGAATATTGACACAGCCCCAAAGTGAGTGAAGTTGCACTTTTGTCTCAGCTAGTAAAAAGAAAATGCTTCTGCTGTTCTTTGCAATAGTTACATAGAAATGTGTCCTGGTGTTCGGTGCTATAATACATTTCACCTGCAACTGAAGTCACCATCTAATTAAGTTTATTACAATTAATAATTCTTATCTATGATTCAGCAAACTTTTGTCCAAGCCAAAGAGGCAGAAAACGGGAAAGGAGAGATGCCATCCTTCCATTTCCAAGTCTTTGATTGCGCCAATGATCTCTGAAATTCCACGAAGATAATATATTATGAATAGCTCATTATTCTGGTAGGGAGAAATTCCTGGAATTTACATTGACCCTTCCTCAAATAATAGTCTCACTCCATGGGTAAAGGGGATGATGCAGAGATTTCACCATTTGTTGAGCAGGCCTGTGGTAGTTATACAATTAGGTACTGGGAAAATAACCCAAAAATATATGTGTAGGCCCTCTGAACTTGATGTGAGACAGCTCACAGTAAAACTCCATATATCATTTGACCTCCAGAGGATCACATCATAATCTTGGATCGCAGTGGAGTTTTGGAACCTAGGATTTAGTGTAAATTCTTGAAATACAAGAATATTTTCTCTTTCCTCTACACACAGTCATCTCACAAACTGACCATGGGTTTATTTAAATATAGCTGATAATAGGTTAAAGAAAATGATGCCACATATTAGTCAAAGTCCAAAGGAGGAAAAGTGAGGAGGGAAGAAGAAAAGTATCTCTTTTTCTATCTTCTAATCTCCTTGTACTGCCTTCCACTGGCAAAAATTAACAGCTAGGGTAGGTTGCCAAGGAGCTTCAGAAATCCAACTTGCATACACCCAGCTCCAGATTTACAGAGCAGCACATAGATAGATAGGCTAGGGACGGAGATACAATAAAAACATAACCAGCAATGCTAAGCAACTAGCTATTTCTGTCATAATGAGAAATTAATAGCATAAACCTTAATTATATAACTGAGAAACCATTTATTTTTATATATTTAAATATTTGCATCCAAACAACTTTCTTGCACCATTCTTGCAGAATATATTAGGTATTAATTGATAGGTAACATACTACTCAAAATTTAATGGCGTAAAATCATTGCTTATGTATAAGCTATGCTTGTTTTTAAGCTTCAGTTGGACTGACTTACCTGTTTTTGATGAACTGCAGATTGGGTAGGTAGCTCTAAATATATTGGCTCGGTCTCATATCTAGAGCCACTGGGACAACTGGGCTTTCTTCCACATAGTCTATGAATGTTTATCTAGCTAGAACAGGCAAGAAATGGCGGTGGTTTATTTCTAAGTGAGTGAACCAAATCATTCATGATTTTATGATGATTAGGCTGGACACTGGCAAATAATCCCTTTCTCTACATAGTCTTGGTCTAGCAAAGTAAAACCAGAACTGATAAATAAAGGGTTAAAAAAATAAACTCTACTTCTTAATACAAGAAGCTGAAAGACATGATGTAAAAAAAAACACTGTAGCAATCAGCTTCCATTAACTCCATTGCTTGGTATATATGACTTTATCTATTCTCCTACATTGTATCAGAGTTAGTCTCTAGGACAAATGGCATGTGGCAAAAGTGATGATATGTTACTTTAGAGACTAAATCTTAAAAGATGGTCTAGCTATCGCCTTGCCCTCTCTCTCTGATTATTTGTTCGGAGTCAGATGTGGTGAGGAAATGAGTTGTACTGCCAACAGTGCTCAGAAGAAGATTCTCAACCAAGTTAAGTATTCAGCAATGGCAGCTCTGGCCGATATTTCAACTGCAATCTTGTGAGATGCCATGAGCCAGATTTATACAATTAAGCTTTTCACAGACTGCAGAAGCTCAGGAAACATTTGACATAATGTGTGTTGCTTTAAGCTGCTAAGGTTTGGGATAATTTGTTACATAGTAATATATAACTAATCCAGGTGTGAATACGAGAAGATAGCTACTTTTGGCAAACAAGCTGAGATACAGAACTTTGAGAGATGTAATTCACCTTTTGAAAATGAATTCAGGTATTATTAATCTTGTTGTATAACTTACCAGTATAGCTTATCTGCAACAAATAGACCTCTAAGTTCTTCTAATTCAATTTCCTGAATGCATCATAGTTTAGCTCATTGGATGCCTTTTCCAAAGCAACAAAAAATTTTAAGGAAAAATTTGGTTCCATATCAATGAAGAAAATATTATCACGATCTAGAAATAAGCAGCTTGAGGAATGGGCGAAATATCAAAATTTGAGCAAATGTTAAAGGACTTTGAGATAAAGTATAATGACTAAATAATACTGTTTTTTGAAGAGGCTGATGTAGAGACTTAACATATAGCCCTATGGCAAAAATAAAAGGACTAAGAGTTATTAAACTTTTCTTATGTATCAAGTGCTTTTTTAAAGATTAGTCTAAATCTAACAACAGAAATCTTATGTGTTATATTACAGATATGAACACTGAAATTCAGAAATAGTAGTTATAGCACTAATCCAAGGGCTTTCTAAGTAATACTAAAATTCATAAGCATTACAGGAAAAAAAGACTTTATTTGATAACAGCTTGATGAAACAAATACAAAGAAACTCAAAAGGAAAAAGCCAAAATACATATGACAAGCTGGGATATAAAAGAATGGAATATCTTTGAGATAAAAACTCCAGCTTTCTTAATATACAAAGAGATTTTACACAGCATTTTTTTAAAAAAATCATGAAACCCCAAACTAATATCTTATTACAAAAATATGTAAGTGGCTTATAAGTATATGAAATGAGTTTTCGAGAGGAAAAATGCAAATCAAATAATAAAATATTGTCATCTATAAGATTTTTAAGAATTAAAATTTATCAGTGTTGGCAATGAGGAAAATTCAAGCACTACAATACCCTGTAGAATAGTGTAAATTGGTAAGTATTTTCTAAACAGCAATTTTTGTATATTTGTAGTTTAAATGCATACAATATGGTGTTGAACAAAACATACTACTTGTCAGAAATTTAAATAAGTCTCCAATATGAAACCAAAATTCTAAATAATTCAATTGTAAAGAGAATATGAAGTGCTTCCCAAAAGAGGCATTTTTATCTGAATAATTTTCATGGTTTGATAATTTGCCAACCTTCCTTTCTACCTTCTAGAGTTGGGAGTAAAATGGAACAACTTGGTAAAGTTAACAGGGTAAATAGCTTTTGAAAAATGTGCATGTTCATTGAGAATATGCAAATTTATCCCAGGCAGAATGGATCCGCCACCTCTGCAGGTGGCTGAATTAATGCCATTTAATTTGAAAGAGGACAGTGTTCTGCCAGTGTCAGGAGTAGAGGAGAGGAGAATGAGGTTTAAAAAGAGCTTGATGTCCCACATAAGATGACTATAGGGTGGAGAAGCACCAGAGTCTCTGAAAAATCAATGTGTTTTCCACAATAGAGTCTATTTACATAAAAAATACAAGGGCAGGCAGCTTGTCCTTATTCATATCTCAATAAAAATAGAATTATAATTCGGTTCAGTTAGGTAAAACATAGTTACCCTTTTTTATTAGTCCCTATTCTACTTTTCTTCAGTAACCCCAGAGGAGTTGGAACCTGGACAGGGATTGTCTGTATGTACACATGAACACACTGACCTTTTTGGTCCCAACGTATCTCTAGCATGTATTTGGAAAATAGCTTTGCATTAGCTTAACATTTTTAAGTTAGGATGTACTAATTATTGCTAGCTAAAAAAAAAAAAAAACAAAAGATATGCTCATGATATCAGTAAGCTATAATAGGGATGATTCAACATCACACAGTTGAGAACACTGACTATAAAAGAAAAACACCTTCATATGTAATCCTAGCAATTTGAGCACTTTAATAATCCATACTTTAAAAAATGCTACCAGCTACGTGTGTATTGATTTTCTCACTGCAGCACTGTCTGCAATAGAGAAAAATGGGAAGCAAACAAGATACACAGTCATAGTAACTT